>NC_000012.12:33345150-33497845 GCF_000001405.40 Homo sapiens
TTTTCCAAATCTTAGAGGACTCCATTGGTGGTTCAGGAAAACAGGAGGAGGCCTGGAAGGATTGAAGTTTGTGTGAGCTTCCAAAGGTACCTTACGGGAGAATTTGCGAACTCATTACTGGCAGGTCAAATCTAAGCTGCAAGACTGACATTTCTTCTTTTTTCTTTAAAAAAAATTGGCCCACACAGTAACTTAAACAATTTTCAATTCGTTTCCAGCATTTAACATAGAGATTTTGGCTTCTCTTTAAAATATGTATCTGTAATCCTGCAGGGTAGCAATAAGTTGCAGCTGAGAAACTCCCGACCTCTTTAGATGGGGTATATAATTCGGAGTTTGCCACAGTCTCCATCAGACCCATTTAAATCATTTCTATTCCCTTCCTGACCCCTGTAGTCGTTGAGTTTTTCACATTTGTATTAAAGTCTTAGGAGCAGCCTGTTTCGAGAGGTGGAGAACAGGGCCCTATCAAGGCGATAATTGCCCTCCAAGGACACAAAGAACCCGGAGTATTTCCACTGCGCTCCTTTGCCTTGTTCCCTACTGTTTGGTGATATTTTGTTGAAAATGACTGACTGACTGAAATATCAAGAATCATGGTGATACCATAATTTTATAAACCTCTGAAAACTCAGCAGACTTAGTGTGGAATTTGCAATCCTTTCAGCCCTCGACATTAAGAGTTGTGAGGGAGGAAGCAGTGCTCTGGCTTAGGCACAGTATTCTCGCATGAGGCCAGGGCCAGACTCAAACACTTGGCTTTACAATCTGGATTAAAACTCTTCTTGAACTCTGGTTGCATTTGAGGAATGTCACAACTCCTTGTTAGGTGCCCTCTGCCTCCTCACTTCCCCCATTGTAGCTCCAGGATAATCTCATACTCCTCTATCCCGTGCACTTCACTTCACGCAGACCTCCAGGCTGCCTTCAGATTTTCAGCATCTATGTAAAATGCTTGGAAGCAGCCTGTTTGGGGAGGTGGAGAACAGGGTTATGTCAAGGTAAAATTTATCCTAGGCCGGGCGCGGTGGCTCACGCCTGTAATCCCAGCACTTTGGGAGGCCGAGGCGGGCGGATCACGAGGTCAGGAGATCGAGACCATCCTGGCTAACACGGTGAAACCCCGTCTCTACTAAAAATACAAAAAATTAGCCGGGCGAGGTGGCGGGCGCCTGTAGTCCCAGCTACTCGGGAGGCTGAGGCAGGAGAATGGCGTGAACCCCAGGGGGCGGAGCCTGCAGTGAGCCGAGATTGCGCCACTGCACTCCAGCCTGGGCGACAGCGAGACTCCGTCTCAAAAAAAAAAAAAAAAAAAAAAAAAAAAAAAAAAAATTTATCCTAAAAGGACATAGACCTCAGAGCAGGTTCTTCCAGGACATCAGTCTCTTCCCTCCCTCAGATACTGGCATTTGCTGTCTCTGCTTTCATTTTTTAGCTCATCTCTTGAATTGTTCTTCTCATCTTTTAGGTCTCAGCTTAAATGTGTGGTCCTCAAAAAGATATGCTCTGCTTATCTTATTCAAAATAGGCCCACTCGTTTACTCTTCATCAAATCACCTTATTTTCATCATAGCAGTTATCATGATCTTTTATTATATTCTTTGTTTTTCTTCCTCAGACAGGAATATAAACTGACGACAGTGACCTTGTCTGCCCACTTACTCATCTATTTCTACCACCTAAGCAGTGTCTGGCTCATAGCGGTCATTTGACAAAGATAATAGAATAAATAAATGAGGACTGGCTGGGCATGGTGGCTTACACCTATAATCCCATCATTTGGGGATGCTAAGATGGAAGTATTGCTTAAGGTCAGGAGTTTGAGACCAGCCTGGGAAACATAGTGAGATGCCGCTCTCTACAAAAATAAAATAATTAACTGAGCATGGTGGCATGTGCCTATAGTCCTAGCTACTTGGGAGAAATGCTTGAACCCAGGAGTTTAAGGGTGCAATGAGGTATGGTCATGCCACTGCAGTCCAGCCTGGGTGACAGAACAAGACCCTGCCTCTTAACAGCAACAACAACGACGACAACAAAAAGTGGACCACACGTTGAATCCCTTTTGTGCCTTTGATATTTCTGCTTCCAATAATATAGTTTCTAGAGACAAATGATACTATTGGAGTATATTAATTATTTTCACCATACATATAAATTAAGAGTGCCAAAGCATCAAAGAAGACTATAATTTACTCTAATCAAATACTGATATACTTTTCTTAAAATATGAATCAACAGTGCCATCTATTCCAATTTCTAGTAACCTTCTCCCTTGAATCCTTTTGGAGGTGTTAATAAGTTTAAAAACAGGAGAGTACACCCCTCATGCTAAAAAAAGACCCAAAAAACTAGGTATTGATGGAACATATCTCAAAATAATAAGAGCTATTTATGACAAACCCACAGCAAATATACTGAATGGGCAAAAGCTGGAAGCATTCTCTTTGAAAACTGGCACAACACAAGGATGCCCTCTGTCACCACTCCTATTCAACATAGTACTGGAAGTTCTGGCCAGGGCAGTCAGGCAAGAGAAAGAAATAAAGGTTATTCAAATAGGAAGAGAGGAAGTCAAATTGTCTCTGTTTGCAGATGACATGATTTTATATTTAGAAAACCCCATCATCTCAGCCCAAAATCTCCTTAAGCTGATAAGCAACTTCAGCAAAGTCTCAGGATACAAAATCAACCTACAGAAATCACAAGCATTCCTATACATCAATAATAGACAAACAGAGAGCCAAATCATGAGCAAACTCCCATTCACAATTGCTACAAAGAGAATAAAATACCAAGGAATACAACTTACAAGGGATGTGAAGGACCTCTTCAAGAAGAACTACAAACCACTGCTCAAGGAAATGAGGGAGGACACAAACAAATGTAAAAACATTCCATGCTCATGGATAGGAAGAAGCAATATTGTGAAAATGGCCATACTGCCCAAAGTAATTTATAGATTCAATGCCATCCCCATCAAGCTACCATTGACTTTCTTCACAGAATTGGAAAAAAAATACTTTAAATTTCATATGGAACCAAAAGAGAGCCTGTATAGCCAAGACAATCCTAAGCAAAAAGAACAAAGCTGGAGGCATCACACTACCTGACTTCAAACTATACTACAAGGCTACAGTAACAAAAAAACCGTGGTACTTGTACTAAAACATCTATATATATATTAATGGAACAGAACAGAGGCCTCAGAAATAACATCACACATCTACAACCACCTGATCTTTAATAAACCTGACAAAAAACAAGCAATGGGGAAAGGATTTCCTATTTAATAAATGGTGTTGGGAAAAACTGGCTAGCTATATGCAGAAAACTGAAACTGGACCCCTTCCTTACACCTTAAACAAAAATTAACTCAAGATGGATTAAAGACTCAAACATAAGACCTAAAACCATAAAAACCCTAGAAGAAAACCTAGGCAATATTCAGGACATAGGCATGGGCAAAGACTTCATGACTAAAACACCAAAAGCAATGGCAACAAAAGCAAAAATTGACAAATGGGATGTAATTAAACTAAAGAGCTTCTGCACAGCAAAACAAACTATCATCAGAGTGAACAGGCAACCTACAAAATGGGAGAAAATTTTTGCAATCTATCCATCTGATAAAGGTCTAATATCTAGAATCTACAAGGAATTTAAACAAATTTACAAGAAAAACAAACAACCCCATCAAAAAGTAGGTGAAGGATATGAACAGACACTTCTCAAAAGAAGACATTTATGTGCCCAACAAACATATGAACAAAAACTCATCATTACTGGTCATTAGAAAAATGCAAATCAAAACCACAAAGAGATACAATCTCACACCAGTTAGAATGGTGATCATTAAAAAGTCAGGAAACAACAGATGCTGGAGAGGATGTGGAGAAATAGGAATGCTTTTACACTGTTGGTGGGAGTATAAATTAGTTCAACCATTGTTGAAGACTGTGGTGATTCCTCAAGGATCTAAAATTAGAAATACCACTTGACCCAGCAATCCCATTACTGGGTATATACCCAAAGGATTATAAATCATTTTACTCTAAAGACACATGCACATGTATGTTTAGTTTATTGCAGCACTATTCACAGTAACAAAGACTTGGAACTAATCCAAATGCCCATCAATGTTAGACTGGATAAAGAAAATGTGGCACATATACACCATGGGATACTACGCAGCCATAAAAAGAATGAGTTCATGTCGTTTTCAGGGACATGGATGAAGCTGGAAACCATCATTCTCAGCAAACTAACACAGGAACAGAAAACCAAACACTGCATGTTCTCACTCGTAAGTGGGAGTTGAACAATGAGAATATATAGGGGCACAGAAAGGGGAACATCACACACTGGGACCTGTCAGAGGGTGGGGGCAAGGGGAGGGATAGCATTAGGAGAAATACCTAATGTAGATGATGGGTTGATGGGTGCAGCAAACTACCATGGCAGATGTACACCCATGTATCAAACCTGAACATTCTGCACATGTATCCTAGAGCTGAAAGTATAATTAAATAAAATAAAAAAAGAAAGAAGCTGGCTAAAACCCACAGAAACCAAGATGGTGATGAGAGTGACCTTTGGTCGTCCTCACTGCTACAGTCCTACCAATGCCATGACAGTTTACAAATGCCATTGCAATGTCAGGAAGTTACCCTATATGGTCTAAAAAGGGGAGGCATGAATAATCCACCCCTTGTTAGCATATAATCAAGAAATAACCATAAAAATGGGCAACCAACAGCTCTGTCTATGGAGTAGCCATTCTTTATTCCTTTACTTTCTTAATAAACTTGGTTTCACTTAAAATAAATAAATAAATAAATAAATAAATAAATAAATATTGCCATCTTCCAAAGTTTTTATCCCACTGAAAACACTTGAGAAAAAACTGTAAGAGTTTGGGATATTTTCATTTCAAAAATTTATCATTGGTTTTAAGTTTCTTCAAGGCATGTTTTCCCCTATTGTTTCTGCCTGAATTTGAATATTCCAGAATTCCTTAGAGAATTATATAGTTAGGAAAATCCATCAGTACTCTAAACTTAAAAACAAAGTTGAAAAAATAATATATGCTGGCCATATATCCATATAAATGTATATATTTCAACTTATCTGTGATTTTTATTTCTTTGCCTTAATACTAGACATTGGTATAATTAAAAAAACAGGAGAGTAAACTTTTTGGATAAGGTTATGTCAAGGAGATTTAATTTGAAGCATATTTATTTGAGACATAAGAGACTGTGTTCATCACATGAACTGTATGATTATGAAATAGGTTTTAATATCAAACAAATTATTTTAATGCAATGTACTCTTTGTGATGATAATAGCCTTATTTCCTTGTTGTCATAGGCATTTTTCACTCTATGATTCTCAGTTATTTGTTTATTTAAATAAACTAGCCAATTTGACTTTCAGAGATTGTAGTGGCTCTTGGAATTTACATCGTTATATTTCTCCAAGCATAAAATCTGAAGTCATTCAATACCTGCTGGAGGTGTAGACATAGTCCAAATTTAAGTATAAATCCTAGCATAAGGCAAAAGAAATGTGGGAATCCATGTATATTAGGTCATTCTTGCATTGCTATAAAGAAATACCTGAGACTGAGTAATTTTTAAGAAGAGATTTAATTGGCTCAAGGTTCTGCAGGCTGTACATGAAGCATAGTGCTGGCATCTGTTTCTGGGGAGGCCTCAGGAAGCTTACAATCATGATGGAAGGTGAAAGGGGAGCAGGCATCTCACATGGCAGTAGCAGGAGCAAGGGGTGGGGGAGATGCCACACACTTTTAAACAACCAGATCTTCTGTGAACTCAAAGCGACAACTCACTCATCACCAATGGGATAGTGACAAGCCATTCATGAGGGATCTGCCCCCATGATTCAAACATCTCCCACTGAGGCACCACCTTTCAATACTGAAGACTGCATTTCAACATGAGATTTGGAGAGGACACATATTCAAACCATATCGTCATGCCAGTTGCATATTCATTCAGTAGGCCCAGAGATTCCCAACCATAGTGATGAGCTTTGCTGCCCATGAGGCCATAGAGCACATCTGTAGTCAGTCAGGCTCTTACTGGCTGTTAGCCTTTTCTGACCCTCCATTTGTTGCTTTCCCCACCATTCTTCTAGATCTTGTCCTTTACTCTTGTTTATACTAATGTACAGCTTATTCTATCCCCCTTTGGACATGCACCATGTATATGAGAAAGATTGGTTCTAAACACATTGGTCCTTTCATTGTGTTTCCTGTGATTTTAGTCATGGCATCATGCTTTGGATTACTTTTACAAATAAGCCCGTATGAAAAATACAGATATCATTGCATTTATATGATTCACTTTGATTTTTGAGTCTCATTTAGAAATAGAGCATTGACATTTTTAGGTGTTCTTATTTTGATGATAGTTCTCTTGGTGAGTTACTCCATAGTTATCTCACCTCTTATTGAGATATCCTTCTCGTTTCTAATTTTCTTAGGCCCACAGAAATGTCATTAGTATCTTTATTTATACTCACAGCATTGTCCAGTACCAGTTCCACAGGGGATCTTATCTAAAATCTAGCCAAACACCAGTGATATCCTATCTCAAACTATCGATTTTCCCTCACTTCATTATGATTACCTTTGATTTCCAGTCTTAGCAAATCTCTATTCTCTGTGATAGTGCTGACTACCAAGCTGAGAGGGTTATTTCTGTGATTAAAATTTCATGGTTTCTTGCATCTGAATTCTTTGCTAGAGAGAACATTGAATATTCTCTGGAGGGAAAAAAAATAGAGCATAACAATTTTTTGTTGCAGAAATTTACCATTACAAATTCTAGGGAGTGCCCTTTCATTAGTTCTCTCCAGGAGAAATCAAATAATGGTAATAAGCTGCACAGCAAGGTTTTGACAATTTATGTTTATAATAATGAAATAATACATTTTGCATATACAGAATAATATTTTATCCAGATTTTTATTTCCAGGACCAAATAGAAAATAAAACATTTGAAACAATTAAAACAAGAATATTCTATGAAAAATTGAGTCCTACATTGTGCTATTTCTGGTCCCTCTATGGTTTATTGACCCTGCTAATATAATCATGTTTTTTTAGCCTTTAAAAAATAAGCCATTTTTTGTGCAATTAAGAATTTAGAGGGATATTATAAATTGAACTAATAATCCTCAATTTTCTGATCAAAGCAATAATAATTTCTTATAATCCTAATGTGTGGTTAATTCTATGTTATATACTCTAAAGAAATACATGGTCTTTGTTGCTGCAAGTTTCATAACTTTGACAAGAAAGCAAGTAAAAAGAGAAGTCATACACACACACACATATATATAAAATAAAGTTCTTATTTTATAGCATAAAAACAGCAAAATTAAAAATATTCTGTATGCTGGAATCCTATAGAGGCATTAATGGAGGGGTGTGAGATTTTGATTGGCCTTAGAGTATAGGAGTTAAGTTAATGGGTGGGTGAAGAAGGAAGAGCAGAGGACACAGTAGAGGAGAGGTTAGTATCCATCAAAAGATATGCCAGCTCCTTTCACCTAGGACTGCAGATCTTTGTCTAACCCTCAAATTTTGTTGGACAAACTCTTTGTGATATGTATAGAGTTCTCTTGAGCGCTGTAGGGTTTTAAGTTTCTTGTTTTTCTTAGAAATGGATGGGCTTGCTGAGGTGATTTATACCAAGTGAATTAGACCAAGTTCAGTGATGTTCAATTTTGCTCCATGTGTGGACACAGCCATAGCTCTGGAAGTTATTTAGATTTTGTGTCAATAATAGGAGGTTAACTGGTAAGGTCACTTTGTGATTCAGAATAGACAGACAAAATGTTCTGAACTGGATAATAAAATACAGCTGGACATGTGACCAAGATTGTTCTCGGGTACTGATATCTGAAACATTTTTTGTAATGTTGGAGAAAAGCAACAACATAATATGGTGAAATATGACACAGATAAGATTTAACATCTGATGTTGCCATTGTCTGCTTGTAGCACACATCTGACTTCAAGTAGCTGCAAACAAGAGGAGATTTTTGGAATTGAATAGAGATATTACAGATCCAGTGTCTTCTGGGTAGTCAGGAAACCAATATTTTAGGCTCTTGAATTTTGCTTTTTTTTTTTTAACCAAAATTTCAGGAGCTAAAGACCCTTCCTGGTATTGTAGTGCAGCTAAGAAAGAAAATAAAAAATAGGAAGAGAGAAAGAGGATAGAGCTAGAGATAGACAGAGATATAAAGACAGAGAGAAACAGGGAGAATAAGACCACAGGAAAGACAGAGACTGGATGATACATATGTATGGGCTGTCAGCTCCCTTCCTGAACCTAAACCTAATACTCAGTTCTATGAACTGAATTGAGTTCCCTCTCCCCTAAATTCATATGTTGAGGCCCTAACCCCCATTGTGATTATAGTTGGAGATAGGGCCTTTAAGGAGGTAATTGAGGTTAAATGAGGTCTCAAGTTGGAGCACAAATCCATTAGAACTGATGTCCTTTGTCTATAAGAAGAGGAAGAGACACCAGGAGTCTATTTCTCTGCACAAGCACAGAGGAAAGGCCACGTGAGGACACAGGGAGGAGGCAGCAGTCTGAAAGCCAAGAGGAAAGGCCCACCCCGAAACCGACCCTGCTGCTACCTTGCTCCTTGGACTTGTAGTCTCTAGAACTGTGAGAAAATAAATGTCTATTGTTTCAGCCATCCAGTTTGTGGTAAAGTATTTTGTCATGTCAGCCTAACCAGACTGATATACTCACTATGCCAGTAAAGGAACAGTGCAACTACCTCATCCTTGAATAGCCAAGCCATTTTCTCTGCCAAAAGGAGAATGAGGAGTACATCTTGGTTTGTGTCTAGGTGAGTTTGAGGGGACATCACACTGGAGTTGGCTCCAACTTTGCTAGCATAAAATAAATGTGTTAGATGATCCAGCAGCTCAGGAAGATCGTCAACTGCATCCCCATCTGAAATGAGTTACGGAGACTTTCCTTAACGTTAATTCTATTATGTGTCTAATATCAAAGACTGCAAGTCAGTTGGTGGTGGTTGGAATATATCAGTAGAGGTCCAAGCAGCAATACAGGATAGGTAGAAGCATTGCCTGTCGGGTGATGTGTAACTGTTTAGATTTGGCTGTGATCTAAGGGAAGCCCTCTAATCAGCCTGAAGCTTAACTGCTGGGAATGGGTGATGGGCAGGACGCTTGGAAGAGTGGGAAGGGCAGACTTCCCCTACTGCCAGGTCCTTGGATAAAATGCTCCATCAGCAGGATCCTTTGCTTTATCATCCCTCATTCCTGACCATATGATTTATTTGTGGCCAGCCTTCTAATCCTGCACTCAACTCCCCTACCACCCAGTCTACAGAAACTTGTAGTCTCATAGGAATTGAAGTGCCATGAAGTTCTTCCTCGATTTGACTATGTCCTCTCCATGCCTCAAAGAGCATAGCTTTTGAAATGAAAAGGCCAAGAAGAAACTCCTGTTTTCCTCTGTTATATTTCTCCCCTGAGAAAATAATTATGGAAAATCCAGCTGTTTTGACTATGGCAAGCAGAAGAAGAAAGGGATGGAGTTAACTCCAAGGAGGAAGAAAGAAAAAGGGATCATATTGGTAAATATCTAAAAATATTATTCTTTCATACTTGTTATGCCACCTGCTATACACATGCATGTAAATTGTTATAAGCTCCACTTTCTTGCTCCTTAAATAGGAATTTAGAGAACCAGTGTCCAATAGGTGCTACTACAGATATGTCACAGACTTAAACCATGGAGAAAGAAGTAATGTCATTAGATCAGTGGTTACATATTTTCAGGTGTTAGAGTCCTGTCTCATTTAATGAGAAAGAATGAGGGATGCTAGATGTTTTGCAATATTTAGGGCAGTCTGCACAAGAAAGAATTGTTCAGCATCCTGCATGACTTTTGTATCTTAATAATTAAAAATTTAAAAAAATTGTTCAAATAGACAAAAATTCTATTTGTGGTATACAGCATAGTGTTCAGATATATGCACATATTGTGAAATGGCTAAATCAAGCTAATTAACATGCATTATCTCACATACTTATCTTTTTTGTGGTTAGAACACAAAAATGACTCCAGTAATTTTCAAGTACAAAATATATTGTCATTAACTATAGTCACCGTAATGTACAATAGGTCTCTTGAATTTATTCCTCCCGTTTAAGTGAAAATTTGTGTCCTTTCACTAACATCTCCACCATTCCCCAAATCCCAGCCTCTGGTACACATCATTCTACTCTCTACTTCTATGAGTTTGGCTATTTTGTATTCCACATACAGGTGAGATCATGCGGTCTTTGTCTTTCAGTGCCTGGCTTGTTTCACTCAACATAATGTCCTTTACATTCATCCATGTTGTCACAAATGACAGGATTTACTTTTTTTTTTAAGGCTGGATAGTATTCCATTGTGAATATACGGCATTAAAAAAAATCTGTTTAATCATTGATGGCTACTTCAGTGGTTTCCATGTCTTTGCTATTGTGAATAATGCTACAATGAACATGGGAGTGCAGATATATCTTCAACATATCAATTCCAATTCTTTCATATATGTATACCAGAAGTGGGATTGCTGCATCACGTGGTAATTCTATTGTTAGTTTTTTGGGGGAACCTCCATACTGTTTTCCACAATGGTGGCACTAATTTACACTCTCACCGACAGGATACAAGAGTTGCTTTTTCTCCACATTTTTGTCAAAACTTCTCTTTAGTCTTTTTGATAATAGACGTTCTAACACGTGTTAAGTGATATCTCACTGTGGTTTTAATTTGCATTTCCCTGATTAGTGATGTTGAACATTTTTTTCATATATCTGTTGTCCATCTGCAAATCTTTTGACAAATGTCTATTTAGGACCTTTGCCCATTTTTAAATTGGTTTTTTGTTTTCTTGATATTGACTTACTGAATTCCTTATGTATTTTGGATATTAACCCTTTATCAGACGTACTGTTTGCAAATAGTTTCTCTCATTCAGTAGCTTGTGTCTTTACTCTGTTGATTATTTCCTTGGCTGCGCAGAAGCTTTTTAGTTTGATGTAATCCAATTTGACTATTTTTGCTTTTGTTGTCTGTGCTTTTGGGGCCGTATACAAAATTGTTGCCAAGACTAATGTCATAGAGCTTTCCCTCTATCTCTATATTTTCTTCTAGTAGTTTTACAGTTTCAGGTCTTAAGTCTTTAATTTATTTTGAGTTGACGTTTGTATATGCTGTGAGATAAGGCTCTAAATTGTCCCAAACTTTGGCTAAGGTATAAATGAGGCAGAGGTTTCGGGCAGAAGTTCAGTTAAGTAACAAACATCTGGCTGAAGTTTTTTTTGTTGCTACTTCCCTTGAGAAGCTCAGAGCATAGCCTTTGTTTGGTACCCTCCACACGCAGGTTAGCAGTTATCTAACAGCCTAACTCATATAACTTTTCATATCCAGAGTGAAAAAAATCACATTACGTAAAGTGATTTTGAAGTGTTTAGTCATTGCTTTCATGATATAGGTACAATTTATGAGAGTATGCACATGATTCATTTAGCCAAAATGGATTGCACAAATTGACTTTTACCAAAAACAACTTACAATAAAAGAATTGGTTAATGGAAGACTGTATGATACCTCAGCAGAAGAGTCTCCATTTATGGTGGAGGTACATACCACTTTATCCAAAGTTAAGTGAAATCAAGTAGCAGAAAATAAAAATTCATACTTTACACTGGAGAGTTTGTTTTTTAGATCTGCCCACAGGGCACAGGGGTGGTCCTTGGGGATGAAGTGACTCATGCTCCCAACCGTAACTAAAAGCTATTAATCTTTCTTCTTTTCCAGAAAACTGTTAACTATTTTAGAGAATTAAAGGACAATTCAACTTGTTGGATAATGCAATTTAATACAATAAAAGCTTCCCAGAAGCTTCCCACAGCTGTCACCCCAAGAGATCAAGAAAGCATGCTCCCTGCCGTATCGCAAAGAACCAAGCATCCTTTCCAGACTTCAGCAGCCCTGGGGAACTGAGAGCCCACCACCCTCCAGAGTCTACTGGGGTAAAAATCTGCTGCTTGGCATTCCTGCTATTCTCAGACCTATATTCATCCAACCACTCCCGAGTGTTTCTCATAATGCCCTGGGGCTCCTCTCCACTGATCTGGTTTCTTACTCCTCTTACACTTCCCTAAACCCTTTCACTGTGCTATTTGGTATTCCTGATCTATGATCAGGAAATTCTTACATAGTCTCAGCTTCTTCCACATATTTGCCTTAACCAGACCTCCTCCTGCAGCATTCTCAAGCAGAAGTTGCTCATTTACTCACCTCCAGGCCAGATCATGTGAACCATGCAGGCTATTAATGACTTGACCACTTGTCTCAAATGGTGTTCTCCCATCTACCTGACATTCTCACTTCCATGGGTGTGTCTTGTACCTTTTCTCATCCCCAACTGTTCCATTTTAAAATCCCCAATGCATTTCATTGAAAGGCCATAGCTGTCTATATTTCTTGTTGGCTTAAATAGCCTATTGGGATAATTGTTTTATTTTTATGCTGTAGCTCCTCAGCACCAGTCTTAACTCATGCAGCTTTCTCATAACTACTTCAGAATTGTACTCTTTATCCACAAAGACCTAATCCCTTCCCTTCTTTCCCCCTTATTCTTAGCAAATGATTTGGACTTTGATATTCATCTACTTGACATAGACATTTAGATGTCTCAGTCACTTCAAACACAGTATGTAGAAAAATACCTTTTGAACTCTTCTCCTCCATCAAAAGTGCCCCTCCTATCCCTTGAGCCCAGGAGTTCGAGGCTGGCTGCAGTGAGCTATGATCATGCTACTGCCCTCCAGCCAGGGTGACAGAGTGAGACCTTGTCTCTATAAATAGATAAATAAATAAATACCCCTCTTTCAGTGTTCTCTGTCTCTCTCTCACTCTTGCACACCTCTGATCTAGTCACTCAAAACTTTAAAACTGTAAACTTGAAATGTTCCTGTCTGCAGGCATCTCATTGCCCCTATTGGAAAGGCCATCTTCTTAGTAGTCATATGACTACATGGGCTGGCTCCTACCTATTTCTCTCCAGCCTCATCTTGTGCTACCTGCTCCTCACTCTGTGCGTGCATCTTTTTATTCCACTCATAGTCACCATCTTTCATTTCTTCTAATGCACTCAGCGTCTTTGCACGGGCAGTTTTCTCTGTTTACCACTATACCAGCAACTAGCTTACCCTTTTCATTCTTCCTGGCCCCGCTAAGATACCCTTTCCTCCAATGAAACCTCCACTGACCAAGCTCTCTACAAGACTAGGTTAAGTCCTCCTGTAATAGAATATAATAAAAAGTTGCATATCTCGATTAGAATGATTGATTATTACTATTTATTTCCTACCCTCAAAGTAAGCTTCATAGTACCAGGGTCTGGGACCATTGGATTCACCTATATAGGTTTTCAATAACATCCATGGAAAAAACAAACAGATGACTTTGAATCAGTCTGTTCACTGTATTTTACAAAGTGTAAGTGTGATGTCTTTATTGTGACTCACGGTGGTATGGTTTTCTCTCCTCATAGAAGATACAAATAAACGCAACCTCTCTATCATCTCAATTTAAAGCACTTTGCTCTTGGATCACTATCTCCTATCTTTCCAGCTCACTTCCTCTTTCTCTTCTATTCCAAAACTTTGTGCCAGTACCCCTGGAGCTGAGCATGACAGGAGAAAAACATAGAACAATACTGACTGTTCCCACTTTAAAGTCATTCCGTAAGCCTAAAAAGAGACCCTTAGTTCTGCCTAGCAGGAGGAGTGCCTTCCCCTTGGATGGTCACCGTCTCATTTTCCTGGAAGATTTTCCTACCCCCTCCTTTCTTATCCTTGGAATCCTTCCCTTGCGACCTTCCTTCACAACTGGCATTCTTCCTTCTCCACTAAGAACACTGAAGCATGCAGAAAGGGAGAAATTAGCATGGGAAAAGTAACATCGTGCTTGTGTGGTGTTGGGAATAACAGTAAATAAAGACAGTATAATGATATGAGAAAGGGGACAGAATTTCTGGAGCACTGTCTTTACATGGGTGAGCATAAAAGCACAATGTTATTTTTACCATCTTAATTTCTCTTAAAAATCTATAAAATAATATTCCGATACTATTATTTTCCAAAATGTGATTTTTAAAATGCAGTATGTCATAATTTATTTTGGCAAAGTCATATTGTTGAAAATATATACAGTGTATCTAATAGTATTTGCTATAAATATGTGGGGTTTTCTACTTGTTTATATTAACTAATATTTAATCCTATGTTATCTTTTTATACAGTGTACTTTTTTAGTGGTTTCTTGTTGTTTTCCTTCTTTTTGTGTTTTTTTCTTTTTGCTATCTAGACTACTTTGTTTTTAACCTCTATTAACTTAGTATATTCATTGTTTTCATTGTAGATATATGCTTGTAGGTAAATATAGTGTAACTATTATTTTTTAAAAATATTAGTGCCAATTAGCCACCCATGTATTATAATAAATTCAACCCCCTTTCTTTTCTTCCATCTCTTCACTCATTTCGTATCTGCTTTTTTGGTGAGGAAATCTCAAATTTTAGTTCATGTTATCATTTCATACTTTTTATATTATGTTTTCTTTTTCAAGATTTTTCTACTATATTTTGTAGTAAATTAGTATTTATTCAAACAATTTCTATTTCAGTAGTTTTATTTCGTAGAGACAGTTTCTTTATATGATGACTTTTCTATTATTAAAATCTTTGTTTTTTTATTCTTTTCTCATTTTGTTGAATTACTTCTTCAATTATCTTGCATTTAGCATATGGGTATGCTATACTCTGAACACTTGCACATTTAAAAATATATTTTCTTATTCTTATAGTTGAATGCAAATTTAGCATTGTGTAGAGTTCTTTTGTTATAACTGTTTTTTACAACACAATAACAACAAAAATAACATTGAAAAATTTCAGAATATATGACATTAAATACATTAGAAATTGATGTAATTAAGGACTGATTGCCAATTTCATGATAGAACCGTTACTAATAATTACAATTATATAATTACAATTAAAATGAAATTATCTAATCACTTACAACAGGCTAAACAAATAGAACACACCTGAAATTAATAGCAGACTATATTTATTCAGGCAACCATGTTTATATTTAAGAAAGATAGGCCAGATGTGGTGGCTCAGGCCTGTGATCTCTGCATTTTGGGAGGCCAACGCTGGGGGATTGCTTGAGCCCAGGAGTTTGAGGCCAGCCTGGGCAATATAGTAGGACCACATCTCTACAGTTTTTTTTTTTTTTTTAAATTAGTAAGGCATGATGGCACCTGCCTGAAGTCCCAGCTACTTGTGAGGTTGAGGCAGAAGTGAGTTGTGACTGTGTCACTGCACTCCAGCCTGAGCAACAGAACAAGACTCTGTCTCAAAAGAAAAAGAGAAAGTATATTTTATTGTGAATACCCTCCATAAAAGGAGAATTTTTTCAATGTATGAGTTGATAAGCCGTTCCTACAAAATTGTGCAAATTCAAAATAGGATTATAAGGATTAGAATGCTGTATGACATTGGTAATTATATCCTTGTTGGCTTATTTAGTAGTTTCTGATGGAAATATGGATGTACAAATAAATGACAGCTGTCAGTTCAGGTAAGACAGCTGAATATAAAAATTTATTTAAAAAGAGATTCTTAAATTTTATTGTTTTGAAAAGACAGCTGAAAACAGTATCAATAGTTTCTTAGAATGAGTCTTTAACAAATCAACATTCATTTGAAATAAAATCTGTGCTTATATTTAAGGCACTTACATAGGTTTGCATTTTAGTAGGGATGTAGAAAATACATGTTTTGGATTGAACAATGGTGAGGCTTCGTAAGGAGTAAAATAATTCCAAAATGTTCCAGACTTTACATTTTTTTTTTTTTTGAAACAGAGTTTCACTCCTGTTGCCCAAGCTGGAGTGCAATGGTGCAATCTCGGCTCACCGCAGCCTCTGCCTCCCGGATTCAAGCGATTCTCCTGCCTCAGCCTCTCAAATAGCTGGGATTACAAGCATGCGCCACCACGTCCGGCTAATTTTGTATTTTTAGTAGAGACAGGGTTTCTCCTTTTATATAACACTATGCATCTGAGATATGGCAGGCATTTTGTTTCCCAAAATATTTGTGAAAAAGGCAAATGTGTACCATGTAGGAAATGACATTGTTTGTTGAAAACTTATATCGAATTGTATATCATTGTATATGGCGGATTACATAAAACAATGTTGCAAAAATGAAGCTTGGCTGACTATTGGAATGGTTTGCTGAAATTGGCTTTCAGATTTGAATTTCATGTTTTCCTTGAAACTTCTATATCACACGTGAAGGGTTTGGAATTTTGCCATAAAAGTTCCAAAGTAAAAGTAATGTCATTCCCTTCTTTCTTTCCAAAAGTAGAAGCATTAAAGGGAAGCAAACACACTTAGGAGAGTAAGGAGAAGTTTTGCAAAATCAAAAACCAAAACCCAAACAACCCAAAAGGTAAACATAAAATTCTGATATTTCAAAGTTACAAGAATTATAAATAACAAAACAAAAATTTTAAAATTAAATATTTTGTGAGACTACTTATAAACAATGTTATGTAAAATAATAACACTCTTCCCAATCTCTACTCCACTGCCAGTCTTTATGTGTCAGCTTTTGACCAACAATGTTTCTATCACCACTCTTTCTTTCCTTTCCCCGTAGTTTATATCATTATAAAGACTGTAGTGGTAAATGAAAATGAACCAGGTAAATTTAAAAGGAAATATGAATATGGGGTAGATAGGAACAATCAGGGAATTAACATGGATGCAGTTTGTCTTTATCTTGGGTGAGTGAGATTTTAGAGATCAATGCCTGTTCATTTTTGCATTTATCATTTTAAGTAGTAAAATTACATTTCTGTCTCTCTCTCTTTTTTTTTTTTTTGATGGAGTCTTGCTCTGTCACCAGGCTGGAGTGCAGTGGCATGAACTCGGCTCACTGCAACCTCTGCCTCCCGGGTTCAAGCGATTCTCCTGCCTCAGCCTCCTGAGTAGCTAGGACTAGAGGTGCATGCCACCACACCAGCTAATTTTTGTATTTTTAGTAGAGGCAGGGTTTCACCATGTTGGCCAGGATGGTCTTGATCTCTTGACCTTGTGATCCACCTGCCTTGGCCTCTCAAAGTGCTGGGATTACAGGAGTGAACTACCGTGCCCGGCCCATTTTTTCTCTTTTTAACAGAATTAATTAACTACATTTGATTCACTGATCTAGTTTTGTAAACTGAGATGTGATACATAAAATATAACAAGGTAGATGTTAATTATATTAAAAATGGACCTCAGTTTTATAGAATTGTGTTCATCATAATGTTTGGTTTGTAGACGAATTATTTTCATTCATTAATGTAAAGAAAGTCCTCTTTTTGCTGGGCACGGTGGCTCACGCCCGTAATCCCAGCACTTTGGGAGGCTGAGGCAGGCGGATCACGAGGTCAGGAGATCGAGACCATCCTGGCTAACACGGTGAAACCCTGTCTCTACTAAAAATACAAAAAAAAAAAAAAAAAAATTTAGCCAGGCCTGGTGGTGGTGGGTGCCTGTAGTCCCAGCTACTCGGGAGGCTGAGTCAGGTGAATGGCATGAACCCGGGAGGCAGAGCTTGCAGTGAGCCAAGATCGTGCCACTGCACTCCAGCCTGGGCGACAGAGCAAGACTCTGTCTCAAAAAAAAAAAAAAAGAAAGTCCTCTTTTATTTTATGTACGCAGATAAGAGTGTGTATGTATGTATTTGTTAATATAAAGAGCAACCATGAACTCAAACCTTAATAATTAACTATACTGTGGCACACGCCTGTAATCCCAGCTAATTGGGAGACTGAGGCACAAAGAATCGTTTAAACTTGGGAGGCGGAGGTTGCAGTGAGGCCATCGTGGCACTGCACTCCAGCCTGGGTGACAAAGCGAGAATCTGTCTCAAAATAATAATAATAAAAATCTAGACCATTCTAGTTATTTGTATGAATATATTTATTCATCTTCATTCTATCATTCCAGCTACCATCTCCAAATAAACTCTGTCCTTAATTTTATGTCTATCATTTTCTTGTTCTGTTTTTGATAACAGCATTATTCAAATATAATTTTTATAGCAAACAATTTACATGTATATATATAATTTGTGTTGTATTAACATGGTTATACAACTATCACCACAATCAATTTTAGAGCATTTTTATCACCTCAAAAGTTAACGCTATATCCTTTGCAGTCATCCTCAATCTTCTCATCTACTGCAACCCCAGGCAACCACAAATTTACACCCTGTCTCAATGGATTTGCCTATTCTGTATATGGTATTTCATATAAATACAATCCTAAAAATATGTTGACTTTTGTAATCAGTTTCTTTCACTTAGCATAATATTTTCAAGCTTTGCATGTTGTGGCATGTCCCAGTATTTTATTCTAAATAATATATTCCATTGCATGAAAATACCATATTTGAGTTATCCATTCATTAGTTGTTGGGCATTTAGATTGTTTCCTTTTTTTTTTTTTTGACTATTATCAATAATGAAGGTATGAACATTCATGTACACCAGGAGTCCCCAACCCCCAGGGTACAGACTGGTACCAATTCATGACCTATTAGGAACCAGGGTGCACAGCAAGAGGTGAGTAGCAGGCAAATGAGCATTGCTGCCTGAGCTCCACCTCCTGTCAGATCAGTGGCAGCATTAGATTCTCACAGGAGCTCAAACCTTATTGTTAACTGCGCATGTGAGGGATCTAGGTTTCATCCTCCTAATGAGAGTCTAATGCCTGATGATTTGAGGTGAAACGGTTTCATCCTAAAACCATTCCCATCCCAGTCTGTGGAAAAATTGTTTTCCACGAAACCAGTCCCTGGTGCCAAAAAGATTAGGGAATGCTGATGTACACTTTATTTGGTGGACATATGTTTTTATTTCTCTAAGTTATATATTTAGGAGTGGAATTGCTGGTCATATGTAACTTTATGTGTAACATTCCTACCAACAATTTATGAGGTTTCAAATTTCCCCATATAGATGTCAATGCTTGTTATTATCTTTTTAATTATAGGCATTTTAGTGGTTGTGAAGTAGCTACTCATTGCGGTTTTGATTTCCCTGGTGACTAATAATGCTGAACATCTTTTCATGTACTTATTAGTCTTTTGTATCTTTTTTGGAGAAATGTCTCTTCAGATCTCTTACCCATTTTAAAATTGGATTCTTTGTCTTTTTATTATTGAATTACAGAGGTTCTTTGTATATCGAGACACAAGTCTCTAATAAGATATATGACTTACATATAATTTCTCCCGTTTGGTGGGATGTCTTTTCACTTTCTTGATGGTGTCCTTTGAAGCACAAATGATTTTAATTTTAATGAAGTCCAATTTATCTATTATTTCTTTGAAATTATCGCCAAATTCAAGGTCATGAAGATTTATGCTTATGTATCCTTCTAAGAGTTTTATCATTTTAGTTTTTACATTTAGGTCTTTGATTCACTTTGAATGAATTATTGTTTATGGTGTGAGGTAGGGGTCCAACTTCATTTATTTGGATGTGAATATCTAATTATCCTAGCATCATTTGTTGAAAAGATTATTGTTTCCCTATTTAATTGTTTGATGCCCATGTTAAAAAATGATTGATCATAAATGTGAAAGTTTTTTCCTGAATTCTCAATTTTCTTCCATTGATTTATATGCCTATTCTTGTTCTATTATCAGTCTTTATTCTCTTGCTCTTTCAAATTAGTTTATGTACAGTTTTTGTTTGCAGTGACACAATATTCTTTAGAGATTTTAAAAAAATTGTATAAAGGTATAACTATACATATTCTTTAGGGAGTGTTTTCAGTCAACATTTTCTAAGATTTATTAAGAGTTTAAATTAAGGCCAGGCATGGTGGCTCATGCCTGTAATCCCAGCACTTTGAAAGGCTGAGGTGGGCGGATAACTTGAGGTCAGGAGTTTGAGACCAGCCTGGTGAACATGGAGAAACCCCATCTCTACTAAAAATACAAAAAATTAGCCAGGTGTGGTGGTGGACACCTATAATCCCAGGTACTCGGGAGGCTGAGGCAAGTGAATTGCTTGAACCCAGAAGGTGGAGGTTGTGGTGAGCCAGAATCGCACCACTGCACTCCAGCCTGGGTGACAGAGTGAGACTCTGTTTAAAAAAAAGAAAAAAGAAAAAAAAGAGTTTAAATTAAGATTTATCCATGTTGTAGGTAGAAATAATTAAGTGATTCCACTATTGTTTAATATTTTGTTGTTAAATATACCACACTTTCTTTATCCATCACTCTTTTTATTGGCATGTGAGTCATTTCTTCTCTCCCCTCCTTGATTTTGTGCAGTTTTCCTATTAAAATTTGGTATGTATCTCCTAATCCACATGGTTGAAGTTTTCTCTGGGTATAGACTTGGGAGTGGAATTGCTCCTTCCCGTATATGTGAAAGTTTAATAGATACTTCCAAATTGTTTTCTTAATATCACTCTCCTAATAGAAATGTATTAGAAAGTCTATTGGTTTACCACCTTTTTGGAGTTAGTGTTGTGAGACTTTGTGACATTGTCAATTAATATTATGTATTGTTCTCATTATAACCCTGATTTGCATTTCCTTGATTCGTAATGAGATGGAGTACTTCTTTATGTGTTTGCTGCCCATAAGCATTCCCTCCTCTGTTAAAACCTTTCATGTTTTTTGCTTACTTTATACTGGGTTACTTAAGCTCTCCTTATTGATTTGTAAGATTTGTTTACATAACATGCTATGGACTCTTTATTAGTTATATGAGTTGTTAATATCTTATCCTCAATTTGTAGCTTGTTTTCATCCTTTTTTTGTTTTTAAATTTTTTTTAATTTTTAATTTTTTAGAGATGGGAGTCTCAATATGTTGCCCAGGCTGGAGTGCAGTGGCATGATCATAGCTCACTGCATCCTCAACTCCTGGGCTCAAGCAATCCTCTCCTTAGCCTCCTGAGTAGCTGGGACTACAGGCCTAAGCCACCACATCTGGCTGCTTTTTTACTCTAAATGTTTGTTTTGATGATGACAAGTTGTTTATTTAATGTAACAGTATTCATCACCTTTTTCAATGTAGAATACATTTTGTGTCTTTAGAAACCATTTCCTCTTTCTAACTTATTTATACTTTACAATAGAATTTTGAAAAATTTAACTTGACATTTGAATGCCACTCGAAGTTGAATTTAGTATGTAGACTGAAAAGAGGATCATGTTTATATTTTTCCCATCTTTAAAACCTGCAGTTATTAAATAGTTCCATTGTTTTCTCACAGCTTAATATGTCCCCTCTGTTATATATCTAATTTCCATATCTATGTGGCATGTTTTTACTCTGTTTGTCAATTTGCCTAACTTCATACTGTACCACACTGTTTTGCCTAACTTCATATGGTACCACACTGTTTTGATGACTATAGCTTCAGGATAAGACGATTTTTTTTTTCTTAGGTGAAATCTCAACTCCTCTTCTTCATTTTCAGCAGAATGTCTGCTCATAGACCTTTGCTTTTCCATATGCATTTAAGAATCAGCTTGTTAGTTTCCATTAAAACAAAAAACAAACAAACAGAAAACTTGTTGCAGTTTTGATTAAACTTGCTTTGAAACTCTGAGTTGTTTTGCAGTCCATTTGGAGGAAATTTAAATCTTTACTTTTGTGTGTTTCTATAATTGTCTTTGGTCAGTTCTAAGAAACTAGAAAGTTTTGGCCAGGTGTGCCTACTCCAAGGTCACAAAGATACCTTGCTTTTTCATCCAGAAGATTTATAAGCTTAAGATATCCATTTAAGTGTGATGTAGATGAAGTTAATTTTTATGTTTGATAAGAGGTAGGGGTCAAATTTTATTTTCTTATGGATTTCCAGTTGTTCCACTATCACTCTTTTTTCTTTTTTAATATCATGTAGGGTTTTTGAGTAAAAGTATGGGATGTTCAGAGATGCATTTTCTGGAGATGGAGCTGTATAGTGGAGAGTGAGTGGCCTTTAAGAGAATCTAGAGATTTGTAAACCAATTAGCAAAATTTATAAAATGCAGAAAATAGGTTTCATGGACTGAGCTATGGTAGTGGCAGTGGGAGAGATTTTTTTAAATTGAATATGATTAACAGGAGTCTATAGAACTTGAGCCTATTGACTAGGCTCCTTCTCTACTCTTCATTGCTTTTTTTTTTTTTTTTCAGGTCAGGGTCAATTTGGCATTTATTCCCTTCTTAGTTACTTCATCTGCACAAACACCCATCTTATGACTTTAAAAAATATCCCGTCTATGGGTTCTTCCTATTAATGATGGGAATGAAGTCAGTACAAAAACTAGTACCAACTATAGTTTTGCAGAATATTTTACATATTACAAGATGGCACATACATTAAGTGGTAGGTCAGGCAGAAATAACTAATCTCAATTTATAGATGAGTAGATTTAAGTGTTAATGAGGTTTATATAACTTTCATCTTAGTGATTTATCTAAAGAGGCAAATTACCTTTAATTCTTATTTTGTTTCATAGTTTGAAGGCAACTAAAAAGCAACAGGTCATAAAATGTGCATGTAGTTTGAGGGCCAAAGACCTAGATTTGAGGCCCAGCTCCATAGTCTACTACAAGACCTTGGGCTTTCATTTGATCTCTGTTAACCATGATTAGCTTATCTGTTAAATGGGTGTGATGAAATCCACATGCCTTGTGATAAGAATTAAGAAACAGTATATGTGAAAGTATTTTAAAATTGTATCAGTATGAGTTGTTATATTTCATGCCTTGTAGAGAATAAAAACCCTGATTTAGGAATGAGTTAGCCATATTTGCAAGGTTGTTGTGCTCTGCCGTTAACTACAGGTGTATCCACTTAATCAATCTGAGCCTCAATTCCTCCATCTTTAAAATGTTCACAGTAGGCCGGCGCAGTGGCTCACGCCTGTAATCCCAGCACTTTGGGAGGCCGAGGCGGGCAGATCACGAGGTCAGGAGATGGAGACCATCCCGGCTAACACTGTGAAACCCCATCTCTACTAAAAATACAAAAAATTAGCCAGGCGTGGTGGCGGGCACCTGTAGTCCCAGCTACCCGGGAGGCTGAGGCAGGAGAATGGCGTGAACCCGGTAGGCAGAGTTTGCAGTGAGCTGAGATCACACCACTGCACTCCAGCCTAGGCGATAGAGCGAGACTCCGTCTCAAAAAAAAAAAAAAAAAAAAGTCACAATAATACATCACAGACATTTTGTACACAGAGATTAGGAATATGAGAGGTAATGAGCACAGTGCTTGGTGCATAGCATGTATTCTGTATGTTTTAGGTGACATGTCCAATAAAAAACAATTTCTCCTTTAATTCTCAACTCTAGTTTTCAATTTTAACTTCTGGTTAACTTTGCACCTATTAGTGCTACTTATGCCTTGTTATTTACTAATTAGAGGTTGTTAGAGTTGTGTTCCTGGAAGCACCATTTACATAGACCACAAGCTGTTCTATTCCTCCTGGAGTTTGTGGCCTGTTTGTGCCTTGTGTTCTCGGTGTGATTTTTATCTATTAGCTCCTTCACTTTTTGGGTTGAGTTTCTGTTATTGACTCAGGTCTAGCTTCCCATTTAAAGTAAGTTTTTTACTCATGTATGTTCTAAAATTCATAAAAAATTTACTTGCTCATGAAAATGCACACAACCTAATCAGACTCACTAAATGCATTCCTAGTGGGAATGAATTCATTTCTGTTCACATAATTTATACTCATAGTTGGAACTTGGATGATTTTTTTTCACTTGGAGAAATTTTTTTTAATTCTAACTATAGCATGAAAATGGAAACTGCTTGTCAAGTGTCCTATTCGTGGTTTCTGTTTAGATTTTTGGTTTTATTCTCTGTGGACATTACCGGATACAACTTTACTCCATTCTCTGTCACTGTACAAGGGGATAGAATCAAAACTATTCAAATTTAGCACAACAAGGGATTTTTAAGCAACAGCATAAATAATGGGTTATCCATGAAAAGGATTTTTTTCTGCTTCTTTCAGACACACTGGTGGGTGACAGTCGAAATCATCCTGGAAATTGCCAGGATAAGAACTTGTGCTTTTCAGGGGAAGATAATTTTGTTTAAACTTTGCTTTACATTTCATCACACATATATTTCGATATGTACTTTTTATTTATATATATTGTATAAATGTCCTTTATAGATTATAACCTAATATTTTGACATCTGCTTTGAAGAATGATTAGTTTGAGATATGCGTATATGGAAAATTTATCTGCATTAAAAAAACAAAATAAAAACCTCTAAAAATAAATAAGGAAGAAAATCCTAATGGAAGAATGGGAAAAGACTTAATGAAATCCAAATTGCCAATCCTTATGTAAAATATGACCAATCCCTCTAGAAAAAAAGGAAATAGAAATTAAAACTTTTTTTCATGTTCAAATTGGCAGATTCAAATAATAATGGCAATTGTGGATGAGGGTACTTGGAAGCTCTCATATATTGTTAGTGGGAATATAAACTTTAAACCAGTGTGAATATGAACACTTCCTGGGGAGAAATTTGGGAATACTACTAAGAAAATTTTTTAAAGTGGCAATCTGGCTACTTTTTTAAAACGGCAACTTAGATTTCATTCAGGCTCTTCATACTGTTTGAATATAGGGATTTCAACAAGGCCAGACAGGTCAGGTCATTGAGTTTTTATCCTGCCTCATTCTGGGACGAGGCATATATATATATTTTTTTTGTTTGTTTCTTTTTTTGAGATGGAGTTTCACTCTTTGCTCTTGTTGCCCAGGCTGGAGTACAGTGGTGCAATCTCGGCTCACTGCAACCTCCGCCTCCTGGGTTCAAGTGATTCTCCTGCCTCAGCCTCCCAAGTAGTTGGGAATACAGGCGTCCACCACTATGCCTGGCTAATTTTTTGTAGTTTTAGTAGAGACGGGGTTTCACCATGTTGGCCAGGCTGGTCTTGAACTCCTGACCTCAGGTGATCCACCTGCCTCAGCCTCCCAAAGTGCTGGGATTACAGGCATGAGCTACCACGCCTGGCCTTACATATATATATATATATATTTTAAATAAACAATGACTCTAGGTACAGAACATCTGATTTGCAAACAGTTATGATTTTCTTTGTGAGTCAGTGCCTTGTTTACTGTCTAAAACTAGTAGCTATGCCTGTACTCTTGATGAAAATATTTTGAAAATTGGAGGCAAAGCACAAGAAGACAAATGACCCAGCAAAATATCTGATACACCCCAACTGCTGAATCACCTGCTAAGGTATTTCTAGGGGCTTGGAATTTTTTTGGGGGGGGGTAAAACAAATTTAGCTAATGTGTGTAAATGGCATTTGCCGCTTTTAACACTTGACTCATGCTTGTTTCATTGCTTCTTAAGGAAATAATCAAAAAATTTAAAGAATAATTTTGTGATAAAAATGGAATATATTACAGAAGACCTTTAACATATATTCAGTGCCTGAATTATTGGATTATTAATAAATATGTCATTCTGCACTACTAATGAGTGCCACAAATAATGTCTATTAAAGAAAACCTTAATAATATAAAGGTCACAAAATTAAATCTGGAAAAGATATTTTCTATAAACACAGACAAAAATAATTTATAATACTTTATTTCTTTTTCAAAGTACATATGAAACAGAGTAAAATTATATTTCAAATGCTTTCCATTTTCTTTTACAAAAGTAATCATAAACTGTATACTTCATAACAGCTTTGAGGTTTAATTGTTACATAATTCATCTGAACCTGACAAATATAGTCACACATTCTAAAGAAGACATTGTAAAAATACTGCATTGTGTAACATCTTTCAAACGTGGTTGCAAAAACATTTGTTCTAAGTAATACAATTGTATGCTGTCAAGTTTCACAAATGACTGTTTACCATGTACAAAAGCCAGAAACACGAATTTCAAAAGATTTTAAAATTTCTGTTCTATAATATGGAAATCAAAGATATTGATTTGAACAATGGCCAAGTATTAAATCACAAAATTCAGCTGAAAAATCACCTTATGAACAAAGACTAAAGGTACAAACAAATCAGATATAATGGATCCAAATAATTTGATGTTGTATGTGAAATGATGAATTTTAGTGGTTCCTGGCAGTTTAGAATAATTGGCAACATCTTGGACTCATCACATTTACAATGTGAGGCAGTTCTTTTCGACTTTGACTTCTTTTTCCTGAAATAAAGGTTTTGCTTCATTGTCCATAATTTCTCCATATTTTGCAGGTGAATCCAATCACTTCTTTCCGTTGGAAAGGTCAATAACAAGTTAATGTGAATGGCACCACTTGGGCTGGACTTTTTGTCTATAAAACAAACTATAAATGCAAATATTTTGTATATTAGAGTTGGTCTACCTGCTTCTTATTTATACAGTGATAAAATTTATGAAGTTATTCACACTGGAGATTACTATGTTCTTTAAGTGGAAAGCTTCAAGGGTATTTTTAAAGAAAAACAAAAATTATAATGAAACTCACAAAATGATCTATAAAAATATAAATAGAACAAATCATGCAATTTTTGTACAGAATAATTTAATGACCAGTTTGTACATAACCTAGGGATTATAGGTTGTTTTGGGTCCACCAACTTTATTCCATGGAAAAATCATAGCCGAATGTAATTCATATATTGATGCTCAGATTAGGACAATTAAAAAAAAACAATTTTGAAAGAGATGATGAAATAAACATCTGAAATGCATTAACCTTCCAACATTGAGATTTATTTCTCTTAACACTTTTGGCTTATATCTATAATATTCATTAATATCTAATAAATTATTTTTGAGGGAACAAAAACATGAAATTGAATAACTGAAATCCACCACACTGTGCAGTAAATAAGGGGATCTGTATACATATAACAGATTACTCTTACAGCAAAATTTCAGGAGAAAGTGGCTTATTTTTACCCTATGCCTGAAAAGATCAGGCATAACTTTGCTCTTTGGAGAGGGCTCTCATGGTACAGGTGAGTTTAGAAGAAATTATTGTCAGTTTGAGATAAAAATATTTCCATACAAATGTATCTATCAATAGCAAGTCATTTCTAGTGTCTCAGCATAGAATCATCCTAATAATTCCTCCTGGCAGGAATATGTTTAAATCATTTCAGGCATGAAAAATGCTACCCTTTCTCTTAAACGTTGTCTACTTATTTTTCAATCACCACTTCTAGTATTCAAAATGTTTGCATTCAGTAGACTGTTAAGTCACACTTCCACTTCAGCCTTTAATTTAGTGCTTGATTTTTCTAAGTCTCTGTAGCATGATGTTGTTGTGCCACCGAATCATACCCTGCTTTCTTATGATGAACAGGATGAAAGTGAAAATAACCTTTTACTTTGATGAGAAGACACTTGAACTGAGTATTAATTAACTGCCACTGTTCAAATACACATCTTTTTGGTTAACTGTTAATGGTAGATGACAACTAATTACTAATACATCTTTTATGAAATTACCGTTCACTTTAATTAACAGAATATTAAGTAATAAAACATAAAATTCTTACCTAAAAGGGTGTCACTGAATAATGTATTGGAAACAACTTTTAGTTTAATTAGCTGTTTCTCATATAAAATATAAACTCATTCTTTTCTTCGAAATAATGGGTCTTTACAGCAGGTTCAGATGAATCATATCCTGAGCCATGTCACTGAGTTAACGATTAAATGCTCTGTCATAGGTTTTTTGGGAACAATATTAAATCATATACATTTCTCTAAAAGTTAAAACACATGTCTTTTGATTTTGCATCTCAATATCATATTTCCATATGCTTTAACTTCTTTGCTCAACTGTCATTTAATTATTTTACTTTCATTCTTTGAATCATTTCTCATTGACACCAATACATTTTTAGCCTAAAGTTTATAAAAATTTAGATCAAGTAGTGTACCTCAAAACAACTAGAGTAGCTTCAAGAACAAGTGAAGAAAAGTCTGCATTTTCTTTTTATTTAGTAGAGGTCAAATGATGTTCTCAAATCCTGAACAACTCCAGGTGTTTTTTATTATCAGGCAATTAAATTACCTGGTAAGTATTACAACTAAGGTGGCAAAAAGAATCAGACGAAATTCTATAAAAATATACGTTCTTAAATAATTTCAAGTACTCTTTTTGAGGGGGTAAAGAAATTACCGCACGTTCAATGTTAAGATTTAGTGTTCCTTTATTTGTAATAGTCTTTGGCTCTTTTGGTAACTGATCCTCAAATAAGTTACATATTTTTTTATGGATAGTAAAAGTTGACCACAGGTTTGGAAGTTTGGCTTTTTCAATTTTCCAGTAATTAATCTTTAAATGAATTCTTTAGGAGATTGATAGCTCTTTATTGAGTTGCAAAATTTTAAAATAATAAACATTAGAGGAGAATAAACACAGTTGGGAATGTCAATTAAATATCACCACCAAATAGGTTCAAATATATTTGCTTTTATTTATCAAAAACCTGAGTCAGTATTGATCAGTTGTGATCTCCCTGCAGTAACTACAACGTGCACACACTTCCCAAAACTGCATAAGAAAGTGAGTGCTTGGCTCTGCTTTCCTGTCTTTATTCCCCTAGCACTAGTCCTCATGATATTTGTTGCTGAACTGTGAATATATTCAGTATGGAAATTTTTACATGTTAAATGAAGTATCAGAAACACAGGGTTGGCCTGACAAAAACAATTGTTGGGAAAAATATTATTAGGAAACCAGTGTGAAAAAAACAATGTTCTGAGTTTTATGAAAAGATATACTCCACAAACATGAGTGTTCTTTTCATATTCAATTCCCTCATCGCCCGATTGCCTGGTTAATCAGTTAAAAACAACAACAAATTCCTCCCCTAAAACTAAAAAGAATATCAATGTTATTATGCTAATGAATCAACCCTTACTCTTTTTTTTCCTAGACTGATATTTGGTAAGTCCCTGAAGAAGTCCCTGAAATTAGATGTTCATTATATACCTGAACTGCAGCTTCATAATGTGTCAGTACTGTCATTAAAATGTGATGTCCCACACAAATAAGGGGATTTGTAATATCAAATCTTATTTTAAATACTGAAACTGAAAATATTTCATCTTCAATTACAAGCAGAAAGATGGTAAGTTATGTGTATATGAATGTGTGGGCTGTGTAGAGTGAGGGTGTGTTGTATTAAAATTGTTAGGATTACATTTTAATAATATGAACTGTCATTTTTAACAATCATGCCTTATTAATCTGAGCATAAACCTACCTCCTGAATTACATGAAAGATGAGTTGTGGTGAATTTCCTCTCGCTGATCTCTTTCTCAGGATTAACACATATCCTTGCATGATGAGTTTATTCTAACTTCAAGGAAACATTTAAAAAATTCTTTTAAAACTTATTTTAATCTACAATTCCCATATTAGAGTCTTCTGATTGGCCAATGGTTCACATTTTTTCATCACAAGCATTGGCTTTTTCTCCTTAGGGAGTAAAGAAAAGCGAGTTTCTAAGAATCAACAAAAAGTCCTTAAAAATGTGTTTTTGGGTGAAAATAATTATACTCACTTAGGAAACGTAATTGCTAATTTACTTTAAGCTGCAGTTATATCTACTAATAAAACAACTGTCTCCAAAAATGTCATTCTATTAATAGTATAACTTTTTGTCTTCCTATTTGAAAAGTTTTATTTCCCAATAAAACAAATAATTTCAAAATGCAAGTGTCATCTTTCATTTTACCTATAGCAAATAATTCTTTTAGGCTCGACAAGGTAGCCAAATGTTTCCAAACAGCTTTCTTCTATTATTTTCAATGAGAAAATGTTAGCTAGGAGTACCTGTTTTCCTTAGGGTGGTATAAGCATTTTTGAAAAATCTGAGGCAGAACTGTGTTTGCCTTTAAAATGGTAATGTGCAAAATATTTACCTCTTAATTAACAGTAATGCCATCACTATAAGAGATGTCAACAAAATTTCAAGGCTTTTAAAACTTTTTTTTAATATTTAGAAATAATGGGATTTTACAAAAATAAAAATTTCATAACCGCTGATAAAATTTTCTCATCCAGGTAAATATGTTTTTATTTTCTTGCCTCTTTTTTTAAAAAAACCACCAATTTTGAAATAAGCTTGAAATATATACTATCTATACCACACATCTTAAAAGTAAGGTTGGGGTAATTCAGTATAGATACCTTCCAACAGGGCCTGAAAATGGGACAAAATATGTTGACCTGACTTAAAAGAAAGTTCTGTCTTGTAAAAACACTTGCATAGTTTTTACATGTAGTGGCCTGAACCTTGATCCTTATGAAGGCAAATGCCTTTCATGCAAGGACTGGAGGCCTGGGCCTTTAGAATTAATTTGTTTATTATTATTAAGCATTGAAGTTGTATTATTAATATTTATAGTATATTTCTATATGTTGCTGAAAATAAATCATCCTTTCTTTAAGAAAATACTGAATTCCAATGATGAGCTTCTGACTGGGTTTAAGAGTCACCATTACTGTGTACAATCTAAACGGTGATGAACACAGACAGTGTTGTTGTTCCTTTGGTGTCTGTTAGTATGGTCTATCAGAAATACAGGATCTATATGATAGCTTCAAGTCACAAAAAATACACGTCACAAAAAAATACATGTCACAGTACTTGAGAACCTTACAAACACTTAAAAATTAACTTCTGATTCTGTTCACTTAGAAATACTAATGCTACATTTGAGATGAAGATTATTAGAATTTTAAAAATATCAGTTGAACAGTGCAACAGATATTTGAGCTAATGTTACAGTAAAACAGTGTAAAATGGTAGCCACAATGGCTCAGCCTCCGTTTTTCAGCCAATAAGTATTACTTCTTAAATTTATATTCAAAATGATTCTTTAAATTTACAGCTTTGTCTATGTATTTTAAAGAACAAGCTTGAGAGACAAGTTTTGAGTTTAGCAGAGCCAAACCTCACCAAGAAAGTAATTTTCTGAGAATGAAAGAAAAGTATTATCAGATAAGTAACATTAATTTGATTGTGCAAGGATTTAATGTTGTGTAAGTTAAGTTCAAAATCTCCTTTTAAGTTTATACAGAACCACCTGCACAACTAGAAATGAACACAGTATAACAAAATCAAACCCATACATATATGACATGTGCTACTTTATACAATAGCAGCATAAACTATATTTAATTTTAGGTAAGTATGAACTGTTTAAAAAAACATTTCATATGCAAAGAATTACAACATAGTAAAACACTCTTTGTGCTAACAGGCATTTGATACGAAGGATAAAATGCCTTATGCAACTAAGGACTATATGTATTCAAGTAAAATGTATTGATGTTCAAAGTTAAAAAATCAACAATAAAAGCAAATAAAAAAGTGCACATCAAGTTTGTTCATTAGTACGGATATATTTCAAATGAGGAAACCAAACCTTCCACTTTTTTTCTGATTCAATGAGCACGTGATCCTAGATGCTTAATATCATGGTCTCATTTTGGAGGCATTATGGTGTGGAAGGTGGTTTAGGAGAAGGGCAGGATCCTTGACTATCAAAACTGGTCGCCCGGCCAGGTAACTGAAAGACAAAAATTTCATAATGTATGATCTAGTACAGAAATAGAACACAGTGGTTAGTTGTTGCTCCCTTTAAATAGTGAATATTCAACCATAATATGCGAATCTCTGAAGAAAGGAAATACATAACTCCCTTTGCCCTTCAGAACTTACCTTCTCTGCTACCATGAAGGGACATGGATGTCTCATAGAATGTAGGCAGAGCATGGTACACAGATGTACATGGAGCAGCCCTGTGTAGACAACTATTTATGACAGCAGAATAATTTCAAATTTTACAACAGGGTTTTAGCTCTTTTCTATAAAAAATAAATGGTTTACTTTAGTAAACCATTCATCTCGGCTCACTGCAACCTCTGCCTCCTGGGTTTAAGCGATTCTCTTGCCTCAGCCTCCCGAGTAGCTTGGATTACAGGCGCCCGCCACCACGCCCGGCTAATTTTTGTATTTTTAGTAGAGATCGGGTTTCACCATGTTGGCCAGGCTGGTTTACTTTAGTGAGGGAAGATTTCTAGGAAAGAGCAGTAAGAGGTTCTAAACACAAGAGACTGCATTCCACTTGCTTTAAGGCAGTTAATGAGATGAGAACTGCGTTTGGCAGATGGGAGCCCCAAGTGACAGAGATACTTTCTCACAATCCTTAAATGCCTGTATGTATTTACAAAGTTTAATTACAACAAAACAAATGATTATCTAGATAAAAGGAACCTGATTTTCTTTTTCTTTTTCTTTTTTTTTTTTTTTGAGATGGAGTCTCACTGTTGTTGCCCAGGCTGGAGTGTAGTGGTGAGATCTCAGCTCACTGCAACCTCCGCCTCCTGGGTTTAAGCAATTCTCCTGCCTCAGCCTCCCAAGTAGCTTGGATTACAGGCGCCTGCCACCAAGCCCGGCTAATTTTTGTATTTTTAGTAGAGACGGGGTTTCACCATGTTGGCCAGGCTGGTCTTGAACTCCTGACCTCAAGTGATCCACCCGCCTCAGCCTCCCAAAGTGCTGGGATTACAGTCGTGAGCCACCGCACCCGGTTGAGGAACCCGATTTTCTACATGATACTTTAGTCTTTGTTGTACCAATGGACACAACTCTCAAATAACTGTTCCCTTCTCATATTTATGCTTTCTGTGACAATAACATATATAATTATATACTTATTTTTCCTATAATGCACAATCCAGCTAGTTCTTAGGTCCCTAGTCCGTATATTCTGTTTGACTAGTGAATGTAGGAGCAGGGGTTAAAAGGAGCTATTTTGCTGGAGAATGTACATTTACACAATCTTGTTCTCAATAACTATCTGGGATCTTTTTCTGATGACTATATTGTAGCTTATCTTCCTGTATATTCAGTTACGACAAAAAAGTGTCTACACATTCTCAAACACAAACATGTGCCTATTACATAATTCCCCTTCATCAGAGAAAAGTAAAGCTGCTTACTAAGCACTAATAAATAATTAATATGCCTTGGGTCATAAAGCACCTTTCTCTCATTCCTTGAGAGTTCTTGCTCACATTATCTCACTTCTCCCTGCATCATCCCTGTGAAGCCGGTAGAGGCATGCAGTTCTATTTTTGTTAAATATGGAGAAGTGTAGTTGGAGACGTAGTGAACAGGCTGCTCAGAAGTAGACAGCCAGAGAAACAAAATTAGAATCCACCTCTCCATTCAGAGTGAGTTCCTGCCCAACATGGCTTTACTCTCCTTTTTAGATTTTTAGAATTAATGTTCACTTTTCATACTTAAGAAAAGATCAGAACCAGGAAAAGAATACTAATTATACAATAAGCAGTAAAGTGTACTTTAGACAACATCCACTGTTGAAACAAATAATAACTTTCCAAGCCGTGAGCTACTCAGAGAATACACGTCTATACTTATAAAGTTCTAGGGGAAAACACCAAGTGACTGGGTATCTGTGTGTGTGTGTGTGTGTGTGTGTGTGTGTGTGTTTGTAGATGCATTTGTGTGTGTGTGTGTCTGTCTTTTATGATTTATACTAAATTATGAAGTCAGATAAAGACTTGACGCATTCACATATAAACAGATATTGACGATGACAGTTCACCTGTGTGAGCATGCAATGCTCATTTGGTGTTCATCCTATTTCCCTTAACACGTCCTGAGTAACAAAGCCAAGGTCACTTTTTTTGTGACTAAACTGAGATTAGAACCTCGTCCCACTGATATTTAGTCAATGGGATACTGCACAGCCTCTCCCATTCAATCCAGTCCCTAGTGCCAGAACAAGAAGCACTAAGCACTTAATATTCATCATTTCTTTAGTTTTACTCTGAGTTTACCACTATTTCAGAGTCATAGCAGAAACACAGAGGGTAAAGTAACTTGCCCGAGGTTTCACAATAAGCAGTCACACAGCAGAGCCAGGCCTTGAACTCGACTAAACTGACACCCCAATATTTTAAAAACCTGTGGGCAGTTTTACTTCCTGACCAGAGCTGAGGGAGACATATCTTTCCCCTTACGCAGAAAAGTTATATTAGGTGACAGCACCTTTATTTAGGGATTGTGGAACACTTTAGGTAAGGTGGCTGTTTTTTACAGAAGAGAAGGACAAAAATGCAGTTTCCAGTTAGTAATAAACTTATTAGATTGCTCCAGCACTCACTGATGTAAGTTTTCAGGCTATGCAAAAAAAAAAAAAAAAAAAAAAAAAAAAAAAGAGACTTGCAAATGGCTTACTGTCCAAAAGAATATGAAGCCCAGAAAATGTAGTGTTTTTTAAAATCCAGGAAGGCACACAGAACTTTGAATATTAAATGTTAGACAATGTGGGACAAAAGCAAGAACAATCTTTTCTATTTTTTTTAACAAGGGTGAATACATAAAATATCAGATAAAGGTTAGCAAATAAATAATATTTAAGCAAAAGAGACAACAAAAAGAGCAGACGTAAGGAACTCACAAGCTTACCTCCAGCAATGGGTGCCAGTGCGTTATTGGTTTTCGATGATAGGCCAGCATTTCATTCCAGTGGTCTCGCCCAAGACCCTCAGCATCCAGTCCTGTTCTGCACACTCCTATGACCTCATTGTGTCCTACCCTATGATTTGTGGGATATTATATTTTCATTTCCAACATTCAAAGATAAAGGGGGTTTCACAAATCGTAGTAGAATTTTAAAAATATGATTAAAACATTAGATTCTGTAATTTTGCAGATTATGCTACTTCAGACCGAATGAAATCTCTTAAGTAAATCAACATTTACTAAACAGTATCAACATTCAAAAAATGAATGTGTATAAGAGGCACACACAAACCATTTCAGTGCTTTGTAGTTTAAGCACATTTCATCATAATAAAAATGGCATGAATGAGAAATACCAGTAGGTCTTTACCTATATGATGAGTGTCTTTCTTGGAAGCAGTCTTATTTAATACAAGTGATGTAAAACAAATCTTGTTCTTTCCACAAAGCTTAATGTTTTATAACGATGTTTAGATTTCTCACCAAGAAATACAGCAGTACCAATTTTCTTTAATTGACTCTAAATGATACCTCAGTGTGTTACCACTTGCATTACAATTAAATAGGGCAGGATTATGTTCAGTTGCATGGCATGTGATTTATTTTTGCATAACAGAAAACATACTGGACAACATTTGTATATTCTATTCAGGTCCTGCTTTCATAGCAATGAATCAAGATGATAATAATAACAGTTAATATTTTTGAGAGCTTATTATGTGCCAGTGTTCTAGGTAGTTTAAATGTACTGACCCAATTAATTCCCCCACCATGACCATGAATATCATTATTATCATTCTCTCATTTTATGAATAAACTAAATGCCCAGAAGATTAGGAGCTGGCCAGACTTTACACACTTAGTAAGAGGCAGAGACAGGAGCTGAATCAAAGGAGTTGTTGGCTCAAGAGCACTTGTGGTTAAGTTGCTTCTCAAGAATGGAATGTCATTGAAAGGAGTTTCAATTTTGACAGACATCTCCAAAGATACTTTTGAGATGATTTTAGAACAATTTCATTACTTTTTTTTCCATCATTGATGTAGATATGTATATGTAGTATTATTTTCTTTAATATGAAATTTCCCAAACAAGCATGTTTTTAGGTACAAAAATTTTGTCTTCCTGTGTATATCTTGTTAGCATCCATTTCCCTAAAATTGCCCCAGTGACAAATGCTCAGTTGTATCTACCTACACTTATTGCTGTGAGAAATCAATAGGGGTAATTGGCAAAGCAGAATAGGGCCCCTGATGAAAACATCTGCAACTTTTTTAGTTTGAAATTTCAATGGATTCAAGAGTTCGCTCTCTCTTTCTAAATAGTAGTCACAAGTTAAAATTTTTTAAAAATTATAAATTCATTTCTAGTAGACAGTGCTTGCAAATGTTATTTTTCAGTGTTTCCCCCCCTAGCTCTAAGCCAGAGGAGAGCACATTAATATCTCTCAGTTACAGGGTCCTGGTGATGATACTATAAAATGGACACTTAGCGTGTGTTTGTGCGTTTTAGAACAAAATAAATATACTAAGGTACTGTTTATGTGTTGATAATTTTGTAGGTTAAAAACACAAGTATTCATTTCCAAAGATTTTATAAATATAAAGGGCAAAATAATAAGAGGAAGTATATAGTAAGGCCCAAATAAGAGACATAAACCATTGATGGGACAAGAGTTCAGAGGAAGAAGAGGATTGGTCAGCAAAGCAAGACTTACAGAGGTGCTGACATAAGCCAGGCTGTGGGGTGTTGGTGGGACATGATACACAAAGCTGGAGGACAGTCCAGGCAACGGGGAGAGTGGGAGGGCAAAGGTAAGAGCTGCAGTGGGAAGGATCTTCAGAGCTGCATAGGGGAGGTTGCAATGTTTTCATGAAAGCAGGAGTGACTCAAAGAGTGTGATCTGGAAGAACTATCCATAAAGCAATGCTTTAAGATTGATGTGAAGGCATCAAAGCTGTATCCTTATGACTACTTATTCACTTTCCACTCTTACTCCTCGTTGTTCACAGTTCTGTATGATGCTTAAGTTTTACAAATGGGAAAAGTGATTCTCAAAGTGATTATGTAACATGTCCTCTCATGCAGCTAGTTAATGATAGAACTCGGGTAAGCATCATGATATTCATATTCCAGCCTAGTTGGTAAAACAAATTCTGTTGATTGTAATCTCTGTTGTTACTATAAAAAGACTCCACAATAGTGCTTTCTTGAATATGTTCTATACTACTTCTGGACCCATTCTTTCACCAGTCCCCGGTGAATTTTAATTTAAAGATGACTTCTTTTGGAAATGAAAATCCAGAACTATAACACAGAAAACAATGAATTTTCAAGGAATCATTATTCCCTCCTCCAATTTAAATTAAAACTGTTGTGGCAGTAAATGACCTGAAAAGCTGAGTTTGGCCTGCGCATGACTAGACATGGCTGCTCTTCAGTGAGAAGAGAGATACACATACCTATCGTAATCCATGACCGCAATGGAGAGGCTGACCTGGTCCACGTTCTCTGGAGGGATGTCAAAAATAATGGCCTCATTGTACACAGGGTTTAGAGTGTTTTTCTTTGTAGTTGTTTTCCTCTTTTTTAATCTTCGACCTTCACACATCAGGGACACTTTGACATAAGGATCTAGGAATAAGAAGATAACTTTATTAAAATAAAAGTAATAGTACAAAGCATAAATAAAACTGCAGTTTATTTTTACTAAATAAGACCTATAGTACTAAGGCCTATATTAAGACCTTTAGTATTACCAATTTTAAATTTGTCTCCAAAAAAAAGAGTAATTGTAGTAAGGTTAGTTTCTTTCAAAATGGTCTAGAGTAAGAAGATCAAAACTTGTGAAAGACTTAGCAACTCTGTACCTAGACAGATAGAGATGATCACAATAAGCAGAAATTAGAAAGCGAAAGCTATACTTGGAATTTTCTTCAATTACTGGAAAAGGACCTAAAATTAAAAATATCATTTGCTTGATAAGGAACTTGGATGGAAAAAAATGATACTTACAAGTGATTTATTGCATGCACAACAGTAAATGATAAAAGGGGGGATATTTGGTTTAAAGATGGCCACACAAAAAGAAGCCTCCTGATATGACATTGTCTACATCATGCCAATTACGGGGGAAAAATTTAGTTGGGCTACATTTTTACAGGCCAAAGGGATCAGATAATTGTTGACAAGTTCTGCTACAGCTGACTTGACATCTATCCTATTACCCTTACCATCTTAAATTGTAAAACTGCTATAGTATTATAGAACATTATATGATGGTTATACAAAATTTCCAACAAGCCTTACTTTTGCACCTTTTATTCAAAGCAGGCACGGTTTTGGGAGGTGATACTGACATTGGGTTGAGTACACTAGATAGTTAAACAATCAGTGTTTGCTATCAATTTTTTTTTCATTCTGACCATCCTCTAACTGTAGCACCAATATTTCTTTTTTCCTATTTCCATAGTATTACATTTTATTTCCATAGAATAAACCAAAATGATGGCAATATTAATTTATTTGAGCATGTGAATGCTTCTTAGACTCTTGAAATATGTATCTGTGTATTTCCAAAGTATTCCCATCAAGAAGCAAGGTATTCGTGGCTGGAAATAGGGTATGTAGAGGAAAACAAGATAACAGGGTCATGTTAATGTCTGTTTCCTATTTATTTTTAAATTTTTAAATAATATGAAGTATGTCCTAAGGAGAAGCTCATTTCTGTGATACAGCTTTGTGTTTGAGCCCACAGGCCTAGGCCTTCTAATGAACAGTGAGAATGAGAGGCATAGATTACCCTTTGTAATTCCCGTCACGTCTCTGACTACATTTCTCTGCTTGTGACAAGGATAATTTACTGGGTCTTTGGTTGATTCACAACCCTGTTGTGAGGATTAATGAGGAGGTGCTCTCAAAGCATGCGCTCCTCCGATGAAAAGTTTCATATAAATAAAATGTAATCTTGCACTTAATTATAACTTTGATGTTGTTTTCTTGTCTCAAAATTTGATCTCTTTTCATACATGGTAAAAAGGAGTAGAATAAACAATTTGCAGAGTACACTGTTTATCTTAAATTCTTCAACATTTACTGACCCAAGACTTTTTCACCAAAATTAATGTAGAATTTACTTGTTCTACTTTCACATACACACTATGTATCGCAAATTTTAAAAAATGAACATCATGACATAGCTCAAAAATCCATGATAGACAGATATACAATAAGTAGTGTCTCTCTCATTTGTCTTCATCCCTCTTCATCCCTTAGTTTTTGTATATCACTTCAGTATTTTTAATACAGATATTAGCAATATGAATACATATTCCAAATTTCCCCATTCTTACACAGAAGGGTGCATAATATTCATGTTAATTTTTTACCTCCTTTTTAAAATTCACTTGTACATCCTGGAGCTATTTCCACACCAGAACTTACAGTTCTCTTATGTTTTTTTTTGTGATGCAAATTTAGGTTTTGTTGTTGTTCTGCAAAACCACAAATTATAGATCTTCCCCAAATGTCATCCTTTATTTCCACCACTATTTCTTATTTCTGTTTACTACAACAAATACCTACCAGTCTCCCTACTGTTCCCTTATCATTTTTCTTCCACAGAGCTGTGCCAGTGTTTATGTATTAAATTCTAAGTAATTACCCAGAACTGCAGTGAATTAAATAAAGGGATGAAGAAGCATGATGTATCTTTATCTTTTTGTCAAAGTTAGCACAAGTAGAATTTCCTTCAAGAATTTCTTTCAGAATCTTCAAGAAGCATTAATTTATTTTATTATTTATTTCAGACCCTACAGATGCACAAATTTTTAGTTAGGTGGAAAAAATGCAAATGCAAATGGTAGTCGTGGAACATGGCTATTTCCCTGCAGATCAGGTGAGGGGAATAAATTCAGACTAAACATATCTTCACATGGCCTCACTCATCGCTTAAGCCTAAGAATCTTCCTTTATAAAAACTGACTAGCTGAAAGTAGGGGAGTAGATGGTAAATTATGTATTTTTGAGACAGTACTAAATTGGTAGTGGAAGAAACAGAAACAAGAACCCAAATTCAGATCTATTTGATAACACCTTTTAAAAATTTCATAATGATAACATATATAAAAGAGATGAATTGGAACATTTAAATTTGTAATCTTTTTTTTTCTTTTGTAGTACTCCCATTATAGGCAAATAATTCAGTAGTCATGTATCATTTTTAGATACATGAAATATTTCATTTGAGATTGTGCCCTTGGTCCTGTGGCCATTGTGTACATACCTGATGAGCCAGTAATATCCATCGCCTTCAGATTTCTGCACTTAATGACTGTCAATGTCATACGCCCAGCCGTCGGTAGGTAACAAAGGGAAAACATGATTTCACCCAGGTCTATACTTTCCTAGAAAGGCAATCGGCATGTTAGCAATTTCAAACATTGAAGGGTGAAAACCAAAAATAATCATTTTAGTAGAATACTGGAATGTCATTTTAAATTGTTTTATTGAGGATAATACAGATAACATTGCAAGAAAGCTATTCTGAATGCAGTAAGCAAAAAGAGTGTATCCCAGTTGCTTATTTGCTATCTCCACTTGTATTTACAACAAGAATCTCAAACAACATAGTCAAAACCAGACTACTGATTCCACCCATGCCCCATCATCTTCCAAAACTGATTCTTCTGTCAGTGTTTCCGCAATCAACAAACGGCATCATAATTCACCCAAAGGCTGAAGCCAAAAACCCAGTAGTGACTATTATTCTTTTATCCTCACCCTATGAGCAACCCATGGGCAAGTCCTGTCTACACTATCTACAAAATATATCCCAAATCAGTGACTTTCTTTTCAGCTCTACTACTGCCATTCAAGCCACCATCACCACTTGCCAGGATTACTTCACTAGCCTCTAAAACAAAATTCTCATTCCAGAAGTTAATCTTCACACAGCAAGGTGATCATTTATGAAATGCAAATCTCTTGCTTAAAACTGTTTAAGGGATCACAACTGTAGTGGAATAAAATCCAAACTCCTTACCCTGGCATGTAAGTGGAATAACTTCAAGTCCTGGTGTGCCTGGGACATTCCTGGTTTATACCTATTATTATGGTGTAATTATTAAAAACATCCCCGTCCACATTTGTTTTTTGAAACAGAGTCTCGCTCTGTTGCCCAGGCTGGAGTGCAGTGGTATGACCTCGGCTCACTGCAGCCTCCACCTCTGTTCAAGCAATTCTCCTGTCTCAGCCACCTGAGTAGCTGGGATTACAGGCATGCAACACCACACCTGGCTAATTTTTGTATTTTTAGTTTCGACTGTTGGCCAGTCTGCTCTCAAACTCTTGACCTCAAGTGATGTGCCCACCTCAGCCTTCCAATCTGTCCACATTTAAATATGTCTTTGTTTGGCTAATACATTAGAACGTCACACACATAAGGTTTATGTCATCTGGGCCCTACCTTTCTCTCTAACATTTTTTCATTCCTTTCCCCTCCAAGGTCTGATGCAGACACAAATGTCTTTCTGTGTGTGTGTGTGCATGTGTGTGTGTTACTCAAACAAATGAAGTTTGTTCCTGCTTTGGGGCCTCTGTGTGTTTTTTTTTCCCTTTGACTAGTACTTCTTTCTCTTAAATCTTTATATGGCTGACTTCTTACCATGCAGAACTCAACTCAAACAGCATCTCTGCAGTGGGGTCTTCTCCCATCATTCATTCTGAGACTGTACATCCTTCATATCCTATACTCACCTCACTCCCAGACCCTTCACATATTTTTGTAGTACTTATTGTCTGATATCATCTTTAAATTCTTTTTTGTTTGTTTCCCTGACTCCCAGATATAACACCCAGGAGAGCAGGGTTCTTGGCTGTCTTACTTTCTACAACGTACTGAAGTGCACGGTGCATAGCTGATACATACCAGTTCATATTTTTTGAAGAACTGAATACATTATTTAATTAATCTGGATAAAACTTGACCTGTTTTATTTCATTTTTATAAAGCAGAACTGTCCACAGTACCCTGATATAGATTTATATGTGGTCTTTGACTGCATAGATGGTGGACAAATGAAAATGAATGTGGACAATGGACAATTTAGGATGCTCCTTAAAGAGTTGTTTACAGGATTCAGTGAAGCCATGCCTGGTAAGAAATTTGTGGCAGGTTTACTTTTGGGGGAAATAACTCGCTGATTATGCACCCAGGTCCACAGAGCTGGGGTCTTAAACTTTTTTCATGATACACTATTAACATCTATTGGGCTTACTCATATAGCTCAGGTTCTGATTTACATGATTCTCATTTCTTTATTCATGGTCTAGAAGTCGTACAGACCAGTAATTCAGAGAAAAAACTAATTAAATTTGTGTTTGACCCCCAGTTTTCTACTTTCTAAAAGTGAGGTCCTGGGAAATTCAATTAAGTTTTTAATCTCCAAAATTTCATTTTCAAATTGAGAATAACGCTCACTTCACAAGGGTTGTAAGCATTAAAGGAGATAATGTAAATAAAGCATAAGGCACTTTATACAGGGTTTGGCATGTGATAAGGAATGATGTTTTGTTTACTACTGTATTGCTAGCACATACAGCAGTGTCTTAGATATATCAGGCATTCAGTAAGTACTGGATAAATGAAAAGCTTAATAATGGAAGTGATTAGTATTGCAAGACTATTAGTAAACAAAAACTATTTTGAAAGAAAGGTATATCCAACTGGATATCCTTTGGGCTAGTGGATTGCTGTAGACCAAAAATAGTGAGCAAGATCCCATAGAAGAGGGTTGAAGAAAAACAGAAAGAGCACAGCCTACTGCTGAAGAAGGAACACCCTTCTCTTCCTTCTAACATGTTTTTTTTTTTTTTTTTTGAGACAGGGACTCTCACTCTGTCACCCAGGCTGGAGGGCAGTAGTGCAACCATTGCTCATGGCAGGCTCAACCTCTCGGGCTCAGGTGATCCTCCCACCACAGCCTAGCTGGGATTATAGGCATGTACCACCAAGCCTGGTTAATTTTGGTATTTTTTGTAGAGACAGGGTTTCACCATGTTGGCCAGGCTGGTCTTGAACTCCTGGGCTTAAGCATCTACCTGCCTCGGTCTCCCAAAGTGCTGGGGTTACAGGCGGGTCCAATCTCACACACGCAATGTGGAGATGGGGAAATTAATAGCAGTAAGTTTAGTGAAGACAGCAAGTAAAAATAGCTACAAAGGTACAAAACTGCTAAAAAAAAGAAGCAAATATTCTAAAAAGAATAGCAAATTGGAATCTTTTTGTATTAGGGGTATTAAACAATAATAATGCCTCAGTAACTTAAACTCAACATTTTATTACAGACTTGAACAGTAAATAATATTTAAAGTAATGACCTTGAGTCATCAAGGTAAGGAAATATATCCTATATGTTCTGTTCAAGAAAATAGAGACATGTGCACTATCTTTCAGGATTATTTTTATCCAAAATGCTTAAAATGTTTAAAGTGGTATTATAATTTCAGCTTAAAATGAGTAAGGCTTTGAGTTTCTGAAAATTGCATGTAGTCTCATTTTTCTACAATTTTATATAAACATGAGTTTCCCATATCAACCTCTGAAAAATTCTTGTATTTTGGGGCAAATAACCATTTGAAAGCCTGTTATAAAGTCTAGGATGCAGTATTCCATAAAATTTATTTTGGGTAAGAAGATTTTTATTCCATTCTCATACACACTAATTTATTTCGCTGAACAATCACAATAATAATCTTCAGAGTTCCTACTTGGAAAAGGAGCATATGAAAAAAGGGTAACACTGAAGCTGGCTCAGAGGTTATAAATTTGATTTCTTCATGCTGGCTCCACCAGAATGTAGCTGGGTAGATAAAGACCATTTTTTGATGATTGGCTATAGTCAACCTCACAGACTGAGTCACAGTTATAAAGTTTTTTCCATGTAGTCTCTTTCCAAAATAAAAATAAAAGTCACTGGAAAGATAAATTGACATGCAAATATTTGCATTGCACATCCTGTTACAGGACTAATAGTAAAATCAAGCTGTAGCAATGGAGTGTAAGAGATGGAGAGAAGGCAGATTAAAGCCTCCATAACTAGAAGGTCTATTAACCAAGAGAAGTATTCCTGGAGGAAAGTAATCATTAGGTTGGGCTTAAAGAATTAACCAGATGGGACTTCACAGGGTGATGAGGAATAATGCTGTACGTGAGTACTATGATTATACTCAGAAATAAAATGGTCAGTACGCATTGAGAAATATGGAGTTTGGAAACATGTTAGAGGAGAGTTAGGCTTGATGTAGTTGTTTGATGTCTTCTATGGGCAAGGTGTTGGTGACATGAAAGGGTGGGAGCTTGGCAGAGTGGAAAGGGCGTAGGTTCCTGGGTCAAAAAAACTGGAGTTAAAAATACCAAATCTTCCACGTTCTATTCCCAAGCACATGGCAAAAATACTTGACCTCCCTGAGCTTGAGTTTAATTGCAAATAAAATGAAGACTATAATAAGTAACTCAAAAGGTAGATATCAAACATGTAAAGTGCCTGGTGTAAACAGGCACTCAAAAACAATAATGATGTTAATGAAAATAATATTTGAAAAAAAATTTCTTTATCTTGAGTAGGCTAGATTAGGATGAAAAAAGACATAAGAGAAAGAGGCCATTGAAGTAAAGTTGGTGTGGGAAGATGTTGGCTGAGGGAAAGTTTGAATTCAGTGATATATTAGGAAGTAAGAATCATTAACACGTATTGAAAAAAAAACTAAACAAATAATTGGTTGCTGTGGTGATAGCAGTCATTACATCAACTTAGCACCTTGAATGCAGCCTGTCTTCCACATTTCCTTGGTGGTAAGAAAACAGATGATTTTCTTCACACAGTTAAAAGTGAGATGTAGAACTAGATCAAATGAGCTTCTTCATCAAGTTACTAGTCCTTCATCCACCTGCCCACACAATAAGCTACAACAAAATACAGACCCAGAGTGGGTCTATTGGACTCAAACCACTGTAAAATGTATTTCTCCCTGACCTACACTTCTCATTCACCTGGAATTTAACCTTGAACAAGCTACTTAACCTCACTTGACCTCAGTTTCCTTGGTATAACATGAGGTGCTCAAAGAGATGAGCTAATTTATTTTCCAGCTCTAAAATTTTGTAATTTTAAGCACTGGTAAAAAATGAGAACTAAATAACATATATAGTTTAGGCATGTTGGAGAATGTCTGGTCAAGCCCTTTCAGGCTTTGTTTGCTATAGTCCTGGCGGAGCCTCCTTGAAAAGACCACAAACAATCGCTGATGTGAACAGATAAATTTATAGGTCAAGAACAAGTAGTCATAAAAAGTGGCTATCATTTAAACTTCCAGATAATATGCTAGAGGAGGAAGGATCCAATCCTCAAGGCTGAGCGTATCAGGCTTGATCTAGTTGGGGATTCATGAGGAAAGGCCATACGGGATAATAAATGTGCAATGTCATTTATACGATCTTCTGGCTCGCTAAAATTCTCAAGAGGATTATCTGATGTGTGGTGGACACGCAGGATATACAATATGAAGTCCCAACTATTTGACATGACACATGTGGCCCCTACTAATCTAGTCTCTACATTTTTTTTCTGCCTTCATCTTACAAATTTTTTATTATGCTCCCACAACCCAAAAACTCCACCCTCTATATATATATAAAATAAATAATTTGCAAGGTAGATAGCAAACATGTAAAGTGCCTGGTGTAAACATATATACATGTATGTACATATGTATGTGTATACACACACACACACATAATGTCTGGTCAATCTCTAAACTTTCATTCATTCATTAGCACGGTCATGTTTACTGAGTGCATAAAAAATGCCAAGCACTCTTCTAGTCATTGAAGAAACACTGACGACTAAGACACAATTTTTCTCCTCCTAGGGCTTATATGTGATTTTGGACAAGTTACTTAACCTTGAAGAACACCACACAATTAATTAGGGGACAAGCTTTAACGATAACACAGGTCTGCATAATGTTAAATTACGTTTTTTTTTGTTGTTGTTGTTGTTTTGTTTTTTTGAGACGGAGTCTCCCTCTGTTGCCCAGGCTGGAGTGCGGGCAAGATCTCAGCTCACTGCAACCTCTGCCTCCTGGGTTCAAGCAATTATCCTGCCTCAGCCTCCTGAGTAGCTGGGATTACAGGCACATGCCACCAAGCCTAGCAAATTTTTGTATTTTTAGTAGAGACGGGGTTTCGCCATGTTGGCCAGACTGGTCTTGAACTCCTGACTTCAGGTGATCTGCCCACCTTGGCCTCCCAAACTGCTAGGATTACAGGCGTGAGCCAACGCCTGGCTGCTTTTTATTTTATTTTATTTTTTTTTATCTTGTTTTGTAAATGTTTTCTAGAGAGATACTTGGATTTTAATTATGGGAAGAGCGATGAAAGATATTTGATTCTTTCCATGACGATCTAGGAGGGCATTAGAGGTGGGTGACAATGTAAATGATGAAAAATGAGTAAAGGCAAAGGGAATTAGAAACAGAGGGGTCAGCTTATAAGGAGGCTGTGAGGGGAGGCTTAGAGTGCTCAGTGATGACCAGAAGGTCAAACAGAAAGCACTGGCTCTGGCAATGCCAGAGTATGATTTGAATGGCAACACAGTGGCCTTATTCTAAATGGCCTCTCCTCAGGAGCACATAATCAAATCACCTCTGACTGTCTCTGCAGTCAGGATGAGATCCATTTTTATGGCTAATAACAATTATGTGGAGGGGTTGCAGTTATATTTAAAAGGGATAATATACAAAGACAATATATGTCAGAGTGCAGTTTGCAGCCTGACACACAGTAGGTGCCAGAAAACATACTACTTTTCTTTTTTGCTCAAAACCATGTTTCTGAGGTCAGTGATTATCATAAGGTGAATGTTCATACAAAAGCTTACTAAATGAGTAAATAAATAATAAGGTATCAGGCCAGGTCATGACTTCCGTTAGTTGCAGGAGAGGCATCTACTGTTTGAAGGAGTGAAAGCTACCAGCAACTAGAAAACAAGTGACGAAGACACTTTTTACGGGTGTTGTGGTTTGTGTGAATGAAATTTCCTAAAATTGTGCAAGTGCTTGCCCACGTAAGATGACCTTGAGAATACAATAAACCAGTCATAATAGTTTTGAGCCATTTAAAGATACATGCAAGGTTTGGAGAGCTACAGTTAGAGGATACTTATCTATTAGTTTTATTGGACCTTATTTCTCTATAGAGCTCTCTAGTCTTGTGTGATATGGGATTATGTTTGCTGTAATTCTATAGCACACTAAAATTTCAGAATCAAATGTATCCCTAAGGTCTGTAAATTGCTCTTTTTCCTTACATATCTGGTAATTTCCCCCAGCCAGACAGCACATGCAGTCTACTGACTCTAGATGGCAAATGGGAGGGAGGAAGAAGCAATTTGATGGAGTACAATCAGGAAATGTAATTAACATTGTAACCCTTTTCCAGTTTCTAGCCCACTTTCCCCTTTTCCTTCAAAGAAGCACAATTTTTGCACAACACGCCCTCCCTGCCTTTCCTCTTCCTCCCAGTGATTCTGATTCAATCAGGTTTCATTGTGTTCCATAGAGGTCAGGGAAGATACAGGAAAAGGAGGCTTCTATCACAAAACCTAGTGAGATTACTGGATTTTTTACATCATATTTTCATTATTCACTCTTTTCTGCCTTCTCTACTTGAAGATAAAGAAAATGCTCACCAGGTGCCTTTTAGCAGGACCTCCTTGTGTTTCTGCATGAAAGAAGGAATGAATTTTATACTAAGCACATAATCTTAAGCATTGTGCTTGGCCATGGCACTAAATCCAGGTGAAGCATAGCTGAGGTCAGGGCAGGAACGGGGCAAAGAACATGGCTGTGTTAGAGACAGGATAATTACAAAACCCCTCTGGGCATTAAGCGATTAACAGCAACCACCCAGAGCTACTATTGCCAGGACACTGTTTAAGAATGCCCACGTTTCTGCTCAATGGGAGATCCATTTTCAGTTCCCTTCCAAATGGGAAATAACTACTAGTTTGGTGCAAAAATAATTGTGGTTTTTGCCATTAAAAAAAAAAAAAAAAAAAAAAAAAAAAATTGCAAAAACCGCAATTACTTTTGCACCATCCTCATAGATGCCAGAATGGTTTAGCTCTTGTCCTATCCAACACAACCATGGACTTTAGCTATCAGGAGCCACAAAGTGACAGAGCTGAGGCCTTAAAACAATCCTTCCTTGATTTAACTAATCAAGTCTCAAAATTAGCTGTGTAATGAAGACAGTGAAGTAAGAGGGAATAGCCCAACATAGATACTGAGACAAGTGCAACTTGAGACACAAAAAAAGGATACAAATTTCATAACAACTCTTCTCTTCCTCATACTGGTTAAGAGATAATCATAAGCTTCTGGATGCAAAAAACCAGAGACTTATTCTCAAACTTCCATCATCATTTACAGATAGGGGCATGAAAACCTGTGTAATAAACTATATACAACTCTCCTTAGACTGTTTGATGCTTTTAAATATTTTTACAAAATTCTTAAAGGAGTCCCTGTAAGTATTGCTGTATATAGACACCCAGACTGGATGAACTTGGCTCCACTATTTTAGAGTCTATCTTAAATTGATTGACATTGTTCCACTTCTTGCTCTCAAAGTTTCTTCTCCACGTAATAGCCACAGATCTTATTGATTCTAAGGGAGTCTATGGCTCACTTCTCAACAAAAGCCATCAATAGCCTCAAATGTCACTCAGAATAAAACCCAAAGCTCTTTCCATGGCCTGAAGACTCTAGATGACCTGACTCTCGGCTATCTCTCTGATTTCATCTCCCATCACTCTCATCAGAGAGTTCTTATCTGAGCACTCTATCTAGGGTGGCCCCCACTCCACTACAACTGCCTAGTTCCTGCCCTGCCTCATGTTTCATATAGTACGTGCCTTCATTCATGTGCATATTGTATATTTCCTTCATTATTATCTGTCTTCTTTTCTAGAATGTTGGCCTTATAGAAAAGGAACACTTTATGTCCTAAGATGCTGGGAAGAGTGTCTGGTAAACAGGAGAATTAAATAAAAGTTTGCTGGGTTGATGGGTGTAAGATCCTTGCTCCTCCCTATATAAGTAGATTATACATTAGAACATTAGCAGTCTACTTGTTATGATAACAGTGTGTTTGGGCACAATTTTCTGTGTCCAGTTATCTACACTCTTCCGTAGACTGGTATTTGATAGGTGCCAGCTTCCTTTTACTTACCATGGGGTGTGAGATGATAGATATTGAAAAATCTAAAAGCACTGTAAAAGCATGAATAAAATGGGTATCCAGTCAGTAAGGTCTCTGGTTTACTGAATTAAATGTGCAGGACTTAATGCAATATGTATCATGGCATAGTCTTGTATAATATTGCCACATTTTGTTCATTTTTTAAGATTTAGGAAAAGAGTTAAGGCATCAGTATCTCTCATTCATTTTTTCAAAATATGAGGGTAATACATTTAAGAAATCTAAATATTAGGGCAAGAACTTTAGGACATGGAAGTAGCTGGGATATTAGCAGTCGAGTGGATAACAAGAAGGTGTTTTCTCTATGTGCAACATGCTAGCATGTCAGGGATAACTGACAATTAGAAACTTTAAATTTTACAAACATTTTACGTTTATTATCTAATTTTACTTTCAAAATATTCCTGTTGGGTTGATATTATTACAAATCTCTTTTTGTGGATGAAGAAATAATTTCAGAAATGTTAAGCAACTTATTCTAAGCGATACAGCTAAAGGTAACCATCCCAGGATTCTAATTAAAGGATACTCATTAGCATTTTAATTCCTGTACTTTCGTACTTTACTCTGTGGCTTTACCTAATAGAAATAGTGCTTACACAGGCACGGTGGCTCACGCCTGTAAACCCAGCACTTTGGGAGCCAAGGCGGGCAGACCATGAGGTCAGGAGATCAAGACCATCCTGGCTAACATGGTGAAACCCTGTCTCTACTAAAAACACAAAAAAATTAGCCGGGCGTGGTGGTGGGTGCCTGTAGTCCCAGGTACTCGGGAGGCTGAGGCAGGAGAACGGCGTGAAGCCAGGAGGTGGAGCTTGCAGTGAGCCGAGATCACGCCACTGCACTCCAGCCTGAGCGACAGAGCGAGACTCCGTCTCAAAACAAACAAACAAACAAAACAAAACATAAAAAGAAATAGTGCCTACAATTTTAGTGGCCAGAAAAACAAAATTGTTTTTGTGGTCTTAGATTTCAAAGCCAGCAGATAAGGTACTATATTTCTTTGAAAAAGTTTTTTAGAAATTAGAAAATCAGATACTTGATTTATAGCAAACTGCTTAATGCAGCCTGTTACAGAGGAGGAGAAGAATTATTCTGAACATTTGCATTTAAAAAGCATCTGCATATTCTTGTCACTATATGAGTGTGTTAATAACTAATAATAGTTATACTGGTTAAATGCAAGGAAGAAATAGAACAACTTTTAACAGTATCTTTGGAACCTCACTAAATTCCTAGAACTTACAATAGGCCCAGCTATGTTGCTGGAGCATTAGGGAGCTAAATAGCTTCTCTTTATCTCCTACAACCTTCAAGCATTAAAATACACCAGGACACAGCTGATAGAATAATAACCCAAATATGGATTTTTTGTTAATTCCATCCAAAAGAGAAAAATTGCCTGGACATTTTCTGAAATAACATTGACTCCAATTGATTTTTAAAACAAGGCAAAGAGAAGCATTGCTTAGTTCTCTATGCATATCAGTCACAGTTTTACAAGACAGATTTGACAGGATTATAAGTTTTAAAGGCCTTATGCATATGTTTTTGCCACAAGTATTATGTTACAAATTTCTGTAATTCAAATTATATTAGTTTCGGCAATTCCAATTCTGTAAGCCAATAGTTGGACTTCCGTGTTTCACAAGAAAATTCATTTCTTTTCCTTTCTCTTTAGTATATTTCAAATATGGTAAAACTCTAATATCATTCAGGGCGAACAGCTGAACTAGGAATGAAAGATTTAACACCTAGTTCTGGCTCTTCTACTAATCAGCTTTGTTAATTTTAATTATTTTCTTAACATCCTTGGGCTTCAGTTTTCTAAACTATAAAAAGAAAGGATTAAACTTGGACTCTTTACCAATTCTAAAATAATGATTATATGATCTAGACATGAGACTCTCAAAATCCTGCCCAGAATATGCCCATGAACTTTTAAGGTAGTATGAAAAGACTTCTGACCTATTACAAATCTTATGCACTTTCTCTGAGAACAAGATCTCAGGTCATGATTTAAGATATTGATTTTATTTATATACAATTATGTAATTTGGGTATTTGATTATTCAACCTGAAAGCAACAAATTGGAGCAGTAAAGAATGCAGGAAGCATGCAAACTTATAACAGAGATGAGATATTTTAAATATAAGAGAACATTGGACAGAAATGAAAATCTGCTAAGTTTATATAATTAATGGTCACAAAGATCACTACTGTTAATAAAAGAGTAATTTACATCAGAATACTCTAATTAAAAAGCAGAAACATCTGTGGCATTTTATAAGTATTTATATTTTAAATTTCTAAGGTAAGAAACTGGGAACATAAAAATATGTTTTGGAACCTATAAAATTAACACAGAGAGTTATTTTTTCCAGGCTACTCTTAATAAATGACCTATAATCTGTGTCTGAAATCTTAAGAGGCAGAAATTCTTACTTTTTCAATTGCAATGAAATGTGGAATTCCACTTTTTTTTTTTTTTTGAGATGGAGTCTCGCTCTGTCGCCAGGCTGGAGTGCAGTGGCGCGATCTTGGCTCACTGCAACCTCCACCTCCTGGGTTGAAGCAATTCTGCCTCAGCCTCCCAAATAGCTGGGACTAGTAGAGACGAGGTTTCACCATGTTGGCCAGGATGGTCTCAATCTCTTGACCTCGTGATCCACTCACCTCGGCCTCCCAAAGTGCTGGGATTACAGGCGTGAGCCACCGTGCTGGGCCCAGAATTCCACATTAAGGAGATCCTTTGAAGTTCTTTATGTAATAAAGTGTAGAGTGTTTTAGCAATGATCACGGCTCTTTCTAACTTTCTGTGGTTGAAGCCTTGTCTTATCATCAGCCTTTGAAGGACTAATTTGATTTCTCCTAAGGTAATGAGCACATAGATATACAGACACATACACAGCATGGTCCAGAAAGGTTATAGGAAATTAACCAGTTTGTAATTAGGAAACATTTTCTTTCTTTAGAGTATCAGTGAGGGGTCCAGCAGGAAACAGATGGCACACACAAATCAGAGTAATTCCAGAGGGCTTCGTGAAGGGCTATTCACAGAGATGTGAGCTGGGAGGAGGAACCACAAGAGACAGTTACCCTGGAGTGGTAACAGCAGAGGCTGTCATGACCACTAGGACTTAAACAGCAAGTGGGGACAGTTACCTGGATTCAGAAAGAAAGTGGTCAGAAAAAAGGCCTGCTTTGAGAAAAACTGTACCCTCAGATGAAGGGCATAGACAGCCTGAGGTTTTCTTGCAGGGGAAGAGAGCAATGGACAGAAATATATTTCCCAAGGTCATTCTTCCGCCCTTTCTGTCTTGCCTCAGGACAGAAAGTCTGAACCAAACCGACCAGCCTTTTGAGGCACCAAACAGGGTAGAGAACAGCACTCACTGAACCTAAAGACACACCTAGGAGATATACAGCATCTTCAGCTTCTGAGGTTTTATAAGATGCAGACTGGTGAGGGAACAGAGGGAACAAAGTGCCTAATGGAAAGGGAAGAGAGCCCTCTTCCCCTAGGAAGAAGCCCAAGGAGCCCCCTTCCTTGGGAGAAGTCTGACTCTCCCAAGGAAGAGAATATGAATCTGAGTTGAAAATAAAAAGATGAGTGAGGCTTCCCAGGCAGAAACAGGGACAATGGACATTTCAGGCAGAGGTATCAGTCAATAAGAAAGCTTGTGGGCCTGGAAACCTATTGCTTTGAGTGAGGTGAAATTGATGCAGAGAAGTCATACAGGAGAGTGGCGGAAATGAACAGGGAAAGTTAGAACTAACTGCCAGTTCATAAAGAATAGGTAGAGTCAGAAATCGGAAGGGATGGGAAGGATAGGCAGTGGAATAGGGTGTTCAGGAGGGTGATACCCAGAGTGGAAGTGGAGAGAAATGAAGATGCCAAAATCCTCAATGAATGTGTGAAAAATAATTGGGATACTGTCTCCAGGTAGGAGATGAGGTCCAGGCCAGACGGCATTATGAGTATACACATCATACATTATAAAAAGAAGCAATAGTATCAGGCCGGGCGCGGTGGCTCACACCTGTAATCCCAGCACTTTGGGAGGCTGAGGCGGGTGGATCATGAGGTCAGGAGATCGAGACCATCCTGGCTAACACAGTGAAACCCCATCTCTACTAAAAATACAAAAAATTAGCCGAGCGTGGTGGTGGGCGCCTGTAGTCACAGCTACTTGGGAGGCTGAGGCAGGAGAATGGCATGAACCTGGGAGGCGGAGGTTGCAACGAGCCGAGATCATGCCACTGCACTCCAGCTTGGGTGACAGACCGAAACTCTGTCTCAAAACAAACAAACAAACAAAAAGCAATAATATCTACTCACTGAATCACAGCACACAGTAACTAAAAAGAATTAAAGGAACTCTGAAAACTTTCTGACTTGAATAGAAAAATGTAACACTTAAAATTATCCCTTATGATACTACTACTATGATATAATTTTTAGCATCAAGGTCTTTATTCCTATTTAATATGATAGCTATCTAAACAATAACAAAAACCTACCATAAAATATATCCTATGGCATATATGGAACATTTACAAATATCTGACTGTGCTAATCACTTATGTTATTTAGTCCTAACAACAAACTATGGTTAGCCTTCTCATAATTCCCATTTTACAGATACTATAATTAACACTTAGAGAGATTTAGTAACTTGGTCAAGCCATACAGAGATAAGTGACACAGCAGGAGTATAAAGAAATGTGGGTTTGTTACAGAGACTTCAGTGCTTCATTAAGCACTTACAGGCTACATTGCCTCTAACTACAGACACAGAGAAAGAGATAGTCTCAAGGATATAGTGGGGAAGCTAGATGGGAGTTATAATCTTTACCAGTACAACCATGTAGGAATTTAAATGGGAAATTATGTAGATGTGATGAATTTAGGCAACAAATCATCCTTTTGCTTTTCAAACAACCCCAAATATTATGACTAAAATACGGTTGGGAGCTATTCCTTAAGTGGCTGATTGATACTCATTTTCAAATGACACCCTTCCAATGAGTCTATCACTGGAAGCACATATCGTACTGTGCTTACCCAGCAACTCTAGATTTATCTAAAAAGCATGGCATCAATGCTGAATTACATTTAAAACTGGTGGCACAAATTTAAGTTTCAGATTTTCATTAACTTTGACTTTTTTGTTTTGTAAAACAGAAGGCTGTAATCAATGTTACAGGAAGCTGCTCTTTAAACTGCTAATAAAAGGCTAATATAATAATTGTTGTGGGCTATTTTATAGCCGCTTACCTACAATCTTTCCCATGAAAGTAAAAGTAGTCAAAACACACTGATCAGACAACAAAACCTTGTTCTCTAAATGTGCATAGATGTGATCTAACCTGAAAATAACATAATAAATTATGATGATTTATTTAATATTATTCATGAGACAAAGCTCCTTTAAGTAGGCTGGCTGAGTTAGGCAGATGTTAAGGCCAAGAAAAATCATACTTTGGGAACTGAACTCTCATGGTCTTATGATAGTATATGAAGGACTCTACTATTTTTAAACTGAAGTTAAATTTAATTTTAAATTAACATAGATGCTTCCCATCAATTCTCGCAAAGTAAAAGACCTTACATACAGGTTCATGGAATTTACTTTCATCATTTGAGTTAATCTATCATCAGTTACTGGTGGCCCATAAGCAGACGTGTAATCTGTGACACACCAAGGCCAGGTTTATCGCAGAGATGAAACAGAAAACTAGGAATGTTCATAGAGGAGCAGATGTGGGTTCATTGTCCCAACCTGCAGGTCGATAGCTACAATACTGACTGTTACACCCCAGGAGACCTGGTAAGACAGACAGCCCCTGACCAGAAAGGTTTGCTCCCTACTGCCCCACTTTCCATCATACTCTTTTCCTTAAAATAAAACTGGAATTTTGCCACTCTTTAAAATGTTATTAGCTGACACATATTTCATAGTTAATGAACTTTAGAAGATAATTCATTGATAGCTAAATGGGAAAAATATATAGTATTATTCTGATCCTATGATTGATCCAGGATGATTGGGGGTAGAATTAAAAAGACACCTCTAGATTAAAAATAATTTTAAATATTAAAAAATTTTAGTAATGTGTAATAAAATATGTTATTTCAAACTGAAGCTCAGCAGGTGCATCCAATACTCTGAATTGCTGATACAATGAATACAACAGTTCCTTTGTACTTGTCCTGTCAAGGTGTACTCTTTCAAACAATACCTGACAGATGCTTAGTTAGAATATAATAGATTCATTTTATAACTGTAACCAGGTCAATGTGATATACACAAGCAACTTCCTTACTTGCAAGAATTTTAAAGTGTGTAGAACACAGTTGGTGCAAAAAAAAAAATTTCATTGAATAGGTAAGTAAATAAATACATATGCAAATGAAGGTAGTTATGTTAAAAAAAAAGGAAATCTTTTCCTTGTCTACCTATATTTTCAATGGCTTCTTGAGTATGCATAGGAAAACTACATTTAAATATTGAAAATACATTAGTCTTGGTCAGGTGTGGTGGCTCACGCCTGTAATCCCAACACTTTGGGAGACCGAGGCAGGCAGATCACTTGAGGTCAGGAGTTCGAGACCAGCCTGGCCAACACGGTGAAACCCCATCTCCACTAAAAATACAAAAATTAGCTGGGCATGGTAGCACATGCTGTAATACCAGCTAATTCAGGAGGCTGAGGCGGGAGAATTGCTAGAACCTGGGGAGGTGGAGGCTGCAGTGAGCCGAGACCACACCACTGAACTCCAGCCTGAGGGATAGAGTGAGATTCTGTCTCAAAAAAAAAAAAAATAGTCTTTATAGTGATTGACTAACAAAATTCAACATAATGTTATGCATAATAGCTTAAACATAAAATGTATATAAAGCCACATGCTGCAAATCATTCTTTTTCTATAGTCATTCATCCAGTTTCTACCATATATTCATTCTATCCAGTTGCCAATAGGTAACTTCTACTACTAAATTCCCGTGTGTCTTTACATAGACTTTTTTGTATATATAACTGAATATGAATATGTATTTCTCCTTTACATTTCAGAAATAGCAGCATAGGGTACACACTGTTTTTTAATATGATTATTCCCTATGCTGGAGATGTTTCTATGCTCGTATTAGAGGTGGTTGGCTTGCCAGATTTGTGATATATAGTAGGGTGATTGCTAAAGTGAAAACTAAATTTTTGCACAGAATGAAGATTCACCTTTATTGTTTCTTTTGTCAGTATCAAATTTCAAAACAATTGCTACTTCCTGAAAAATATTAATCCTTCATATATAATTTATTATTAATGAAATCATAAATACAAAATATATGCCTCTTGTTTCAACCTGATAACATTTTTCTTAATAAATTTAAAATGTTCCTGCTTGATTTCATGTATATATGGCTGCCATACCCTGAATATTAAAAAGAATTTGTCTACAAAAAGTAGCTAACATTAACAAAGTACACCTAAGCATATCCTTGTTTATTTGTAATCAATAGGGTACAACATCCCATTGTTTTTTCCTCTGGTAGTGGTAGATCTGTATTTATACATCTCTACACTTAATCTCATATGAAAATTTGCTATGTTAAATAACATTCAAAAAGCATTTATTCATTAACCACTAAGCACTCATACTATGTAAGGGATGCAAGAGATATACAAGATGATTTCTGCTTTCCAGAAGCTCAGAGTCTAGTGGCAGACATAAGACAAATACCTGCAGAATGTTTAAATAAGTGCAGCAGACAATGCTTCCATTAGCATATATTAGCTTCTTTCCATTCTCATTGCTACCAGCCTCAATAGGCTTTGTCCATCTCATCTTGTCTGTGGTGTTAGATTCCTACCTGAGCACTACATTTCACAATCTCCCACTCTGATCCATTGTACACGTGGGTTGCCATATGAGATAATGGCTTCAGTGATTTCACTCTTCTAATAAAAAACAAAACAAATAGAAACTCCTATGACATTAAATGTCCTCTTGATTATAGATTAAATATAACATTCTGGTTTGGGTTCCCTTTAGTCTCTTCATTTCATATTCACACTTTACTTTTCTGCCCTCTGAAAACATGCTACAGTCTTAATTTATTTCCTTTTCCTCATGCTGTTTTTTTCTTCAAGAATCATCCAACACTTTTCTTCAGAATTCTATCATCATGGAAAGGCAATGTGAAATATTTTCATATGGGATATAGTCTGTACCAAAATTGTGTGTGTAGACAAGACCACATTTGTGGAGGCTATCAGGAAACAATTATATAATAATTTACACTGAGGCATATACTTTATTTCTTTGTTATTTGTCTCCTTTGTTAAAGTCCTTGAGTAAAACTTGTATTTTACCAGTCTTTCTTTCAATTTTAGAACTAAACTTTGTTCACAGGAAGTTCTCAGTAAATATTTATGTAATCAAATTAAAGTTATTTGAATCAAATGCAGTAGAACAGAAAATTTTAGAGAATGAACTGTTCTAGGAAGATTTTTTTGGATAAGATCTTGCACAGGCCTTTGGACCTGTGGAAGAAAATATGACAGAGACCCTGTAATGAAAATTTGTAGGAATGAGACACTTAAGACCCTTAAAAACAACAATCACAAAAGCCGCTGGTCTGATTTTCCTAGAGTCTTATTTTCAACAATTATGAGATATAATTATATAATTAGCATGAAGAAGGAAAAAGAGAGCCATGACATTTACAACAATATGATAATAAAGCAAGTCTTAATGATTCTGAGAAGAATCATTAAAAATTAAAGATACACCAGCTAGTGCTTTTCAAACTGATAGCAAAATGGTATTCTTTTCCCCAGTAAATTTTGGTCTAAATTACATTGGAGATTTGCAATTATACAAAGGTACTCTTTAAAAATCTCATAAATGATTATTTCAAATAAAAACTTTAGTTATAAGAGTTCTTAAAATTATAAAGTTATAAGAATTATAAGAATATTTATATTTGTCATTATTGTCTCTTAATCTGATAGTCTTTTTTTTTTTTTTTTTGAGACAGAGTCTCACTCTGTTGCCCAGGCTGGTGTGTAGTGGTGCCATCTTGGTTCACTGTAGCCTCCACCTCCTAGTTCAAGTGATTCTCCTGCCTCAGCCTCCCAAATAGCTGGGACTACAGCTGCTTGCCACCATGCCCAGCTAATTTTTTATTTTTAGTAGAGACGGGGCTTCACTCACCATGTTAGCCAGGCTGGTCTCAAAATCCTGACCTCAGGTGATCCACCCCCCTCAGCCTCCCAGACTGCTGGGATTACAGGCATGAGCCACTGTGCCTGGCCAATAGTCTTTTAATCCAGTATTTATTTTATTTGTTACATAAACTCTTTTATGTCTGTGTCTGCATAGTTTGATTTGCCTCTGTAGGTTTCCGCAGGACTTAAACAAGTGAGAGCATATACTGCATTTCTTTTTATTTATTTCCTCTTATTCTCCATTTTTCTAGAAGACTCAATAATTTCTGCATGAAATTCTTAAAAATTAATGACGTGTGAATAGAAAAAGAAAGTTTCTTAATGAAATTTCCACATACATCATTTTTTTTTTATTTTTACTAATAAGAAGATGTAACATTGTTTAATGATTTTTCAAAGGCTGAACAGAAATTTTAATTAAATACTACTCTAACCATAATATTTGGCCACACAGTCTAGAAATTTAGGTTTCATTATTATGTTCCCAAACAAAAACCCAGAAGCAATATTCTGAATAATGTGTGGTTCAATGTTCTAGTTAAAGGAGAATGCCCTTTTATTAGAATAATCTAAGAATACATTTTATTTTCTGCCTACTTCTTTTTATATTCAGAATTCTGAAATGAGAATGTCTGCAGATGTGGCAGGTGGAATAAAGGTAGCCCCAAAGATAGGCATGTCCTAATTCCTGGAATCTGTGAATAATGTTACTTAAATGGCAAAAGGGGCTTTGTGGATGTGATTAAGATTATGGATTTTGAGATGGGGAGATTTTCCTAGATTACCCACTGGGGCCCAATATAAGGCAATGAATGCCTGTGGCCTCTAGAGTCAGGAAAATCCAAGAAAATGGGTCTCCCCAAGAGCCTCCAGAAAAGAATGCAGCCCTGTCAACCACATTCATTTTATTTAAGTTAGTAAAATCCATGTCAGATTTTTATTTTTATTTTTATTTTTTTTTGAGATGGAGTCTCGCTCTGTTGCCCAGGCTGGAGTGCAGTGGCTGCGATCTCAGCTCACTGCGACCTCCGCCTCCCGGGTTCAAGCAATTCTCCTGATTCAGCCTCCCAAGTAGCTGGGATTACAGGCATGTGACACCATGTCTGGTTAATTTTTTGTATTTTTAGTAGAGATGGGGTTTCACCATGCTGGCCAGGCTGGTCTTGAACTCTTGACCTCGTGATCCACCCACCTTGGCCTCCCAAAGTGTTGGGAATTACAGGCATGAGCCACCACACCTGGCCCCATGTTAGGTTTCTAACCAAACTGTAAAATGTTTGTGTAAGACTACATTTGTGGTAATTTCTAACCAAACTGTATTTCTAACCAAACTGTAAAAGATTTCTAACCAAACTGTAAAATGTTTGTGTAAGCTAAATTTGTGGTAATTTTTATAGCAGAAATAAAAACTAATATACAAGGCATATGGGAGAGTTGCAAATAAATTTAAGTAATTTATTAATATTTACCAAACAATGAATAAATATTATTAGCAATGAGAAACTAAAGTTTCCACAAGGAACTCCTACTTTTTTCTAAGTAGAACCAGTTTGGAAAACGTATGAATGTTTAAAAAAAAAAATCACAATCTCCTAGTCGATTATACTAATTTTTTAGATTTCATTGGCAGATTATTTACCTCTGAGCCTGAATATATGTACATAACATACTTTACTTTTTTATAGAAATGTGTTTGTTGCAACCCTAGTACTTAGAGCATGCCAAACATATATAGGTAAATATTTGTTGAATAAATAAAAAGTAATAATAAGACTGAGGAATCAAGAGAAATAATCTAACAATTAATTGCCATCTGCATTTGTAGAATTCTAGAAGGTGTTATTTTTAAAAACAATAAAAATTAGTATTCATCATGTTTTCCCCGTGGGAATATAGGTAATAAAATGAACACAAATGTGAAATCAAAAGAGCCCCACTGTGCATTTGAAATATAATCCCCTTTCAAAATTCCTTCTTTGTTCCTTAATAGATATTGCAATAGAGATTATGACACAAAAATCCAACAACCAAAAATGTTATAATGCTGGAATACAATATTGAACTGGCAGTATAAATTTTTAAATTAATTTATCCACATAATTTACAATGACAATATAATTATCCCACATACTGATTGTAATTAGTAAAACATTCATAAATGGAAAAACACAAGCTATTTTGAATAAAAAAATGCTTATATTTTAAATAATCCCTTGTCTCTGTTCAAAACTTCAACATTTTAAACTTGTAAGTTGCGATACAACTCAAACAAAAGACAGTAAATATGTAAAAACAACCTGATGGTAAAAAATTAAATGTCCCCATTTAAAAACTAATAAAGAAAACAATCTAACTTAAGAGATCACTTCTCTAATTCCACTTCTATAATTCTATACCGGACAAATAATCTTGAAAAAAAAAACAGATTTACAAAAAAAGAACATAATTTTTCATATAACAAAATTTATCCCTAACTTAAGTGTCTAACAGTAAGAAAATGGTTAAATGGATCATGTATTTCAACATCATGCACTAAAACAAATATAGAATGAAAGAAAATTGGCTTGAAAAAATTTAACTTAGTATGGTCTTAATATTTTAAAATATGCATAGCAAAAAGTTGGAAAGCAATATGCCAAAATATTAAATATAATTGGTAGCACTGTAGATTATTTTAATTTTATGCTATGTGTTTTTACTGTTTTTTAAATTTTCAGTACTAAAGTTGGTATTATTTTATAATCAGAAAAAGTATTTTGTAATGAAAAAGAAAAGTTTTAATGTAAACAATGATTACTTCTTGATCACTGATCATTTCATATATTGTAATTGTGTGTATTCCCTGAAAGCTTCTGAAATAATGGGTTGTTTCAGATCAAACCAAGGACTTTTCCAAATAGCATCAAAGTACATTTTAGGTTTGATCTGATGAATTATCTTAAATAATGAAGTCATTATTCTTAAAGAGTGAAATAATTTCTAAAATAATGAAAATAACAAAATTACCTTAAATAATGAAAGTCAATACTAACTGTGAGGAAACTTGGTGCTGCAGATAGGATATTTATATTACAGATGAATATTTTAAAGGAGAAATAGCCTACCAGTTCTGCTAATTTATAAGAGCTACGTTTTTTTATTCACACAATCACTAGGGTTACTAGTATATTCAGCATTAGGTGCCTGAATTATTATTAGTAGAAATGAAATTCTACCTTTGCAGGATCTTAGACATAAATTCCATAACTCTGCAAGGCTTATTCCGATAATTTGGGTAATAATTAGTCACATAGCATTGTAAGTCAAATAAAAAACAATATATTGGTGGAATTACTACTTACTGTGGTAGCACAGTGAATATCTTTCCATACTGTGGCTTCCCTGGAGAGATCAGAGACTTCAAACAAATTATCAAGAATCACTTCCCCAATCATGTCATGTCTAGAAAATCTGTCAAAATCATACACACTGAAATGTAGTTTTCGGTTGCTTAGTTGATCATATGCTACAGGAAATTGAAAAGTTTCATCAAATAGAGGATTTAAAGTCTTTCTGTGCACGCGGGTCTGAAATTTCTTTTTCCTATCTGGAAGAAGATACATCTTCACATAAGGGTCAGAAGTTCCTGTGAAGTCTTTAGCAGGGAGATCTAAAGCTTTGATAATTTTAACAACTAGAAGTTCATTTTCATAATCATACTGGAGGGTAAAGTTAAGTTTCCCACAGATTTTGACATCTTCGTTTTGGTTGCCCTCAGAGTCAACTGATTTCTGTTTGTAGAGTTCTGGCTTTATCCTCCCAATGCTGGTTGTTGTTTCTCCTCGTTGTAAAACAGGTTCTGTGCCCATGCTAAAATCAACACTGGAAACCTGCATTTGCCTCGGCAGGTGTCTTCGGAAGGAACTGTGGCTGAACACACACACATATACACAAAATCATTGAGGGAGATCATTTTGATGAGAATGTTATACAGTGACATATAAACTCTTCCCCACCCCCAGAATAGTGAAAAGATATCTATATCTACATAGATAGACACATACATATAATCAAAGAGGTACTTTTGAAAAAATAAAGAAGTACAATATTCAAAGAGAAGTCTCCTAAAATTCCAGAACATCTGAAACACTTAAATGTTCTTTTTGTTTGTTTGTTTTGTTTTGTTTTTTGTTTTTTGAGACAGGATCTTGTTCTGTCACCCTAGCTGGAGTACGGTAGTGCTATTATAGCTCACTGTAGCTTAAAACTCCTGAGCTCAAGCCATCCTCTGGCCTCCGCCTCCTGAGTAGCTGGGACTACAGGCATGTGCCACCACACCTGCCCAGTTAATTTTTAAATTTTTTGTAGAGACAGAGTCTTGCTATGTTGCCCAGGCTGGTCTTGAACTTCTGGGCTCACGCAATCCTCTCACCTCAGTCTCCCAAAGTGCCGAGATAACACAAGTGAGCCACAACACGTGGCTGGCCAATGTTAATTTTCATATGCTTTTGAAATTTTGTACTCTCAATCATAAGCACATAATTAAAAACAATTCTAAAGAAACATGATTAGCAAAAAAATTCAATATTCCACAGAAAATTGTGAATGTTATCAGTCATCTGGGTCTATCTAGATGTAAGTATTATACAGACAAAATCATTCAGATGGCTGGTTTCTTTTCACCTGGATATTTGAGTCTCATGAATTTCACATTTTAGTGACTATAGTATTAAAATTAAAAACATGTTATAGGTCCACATTTTCTTATAATGAGTTGTTTCTAATTCTTAATCTAACTAAATACATATTTACTTTTAAAAAGAATATATAGTTGTGGCAGCCAAAAATGAGTACATTTTCTTTTTTTCAACATGCTGTGGTCTTCAGAAACTCTAAGGATAAAAACAAACGTAGAATTTTAGAATTTGAGCCCAACAAAACAAGTTTTTAAAAATTCAGACTGAATTTCCTATAGTCACTATTACTACTCATCTAGTCAACATTTCCAGAATATTAAATATATAAGCTTACTAATGTCTTCTACATGTGACTTGCATTAAAGATCTGCTGCTTTTATACTTACTCCATGCTTTCTGGCACGAACTGTGCCAAACTACCCATCTCCTCAAAGCTTAGTCCCACGTCTTTTGTTATATTTCTTGTCAGTCTGTTCATCAGACTAATCATCAGTTCTTGGACTATAATTATTGTCTTGAATCTGATGGTTTCTCAGATAAATCCCAGCTACATAAACTTCTAGTCCCGTATCTCTAAATTTCTAAGGAAGATTTCTAAACAGATGTCTTCATTTCTCCCCAAATGCAACCAAACTCATCATTTTCTCCCTTTTGCTTGCAAATCGGTTCTTTATCCCACAATCTCTGACAATAGCACTAATATTTTTTATCAGTCACTCATGCTTCCAAGAATGAAGTATGCTTTGAATCATTCTCCCTTTACCCATAGGATTTACTCAGTTTTCTAAATCCTGTTGCTTTTCCTTTGAAACATCTCATATAGTTGTTCATTCCACTCCTTTTCCATTGCTGTGGAGTCCAGATCCTTATCTCCATATATTTTGCTTTCTCTAGTCACCTTCAGCTGGCTTTTTTTTTTCCTTCCAGCTCTGTCTTATACTTAATACCCAGTCAGTGCACCCTCAGAACACTCATTTCAAAATACTTTATTCACTTCTGTTGTCTATTGCAGCAGGTCTACACCTGTTACAGCACTAAGTAATATAGATGACATTGCATGATTAATATTTGATTCACTGATGCACACATGAAGCTCGATTTCTTTTTTTTCGAAATGGGTTCTCACTCTGTCACCCAGGCTGGAGTGCAGTGACACAATCTTGGCTTACTGCAACCTCAACCTCCCAGGTTGAGGCGATTCTCCTGCCTCAGGCTCCCAAGTAGCTGAGATTAGAGGCTCCCACCACCGCACCTGGCTAATTTTTGTATTTTTGGTAGAGATGGGGTTTCACCATGTTGGCCAGGCTGGTCTCAAACTCCTGACCTTAAGTGATTTGCCCACCTCCACCTCCCAAAGTGCTGGGATTACAGGCGTGAGAACATTGATTTCTTTTCTTTTTTTTTTTTTGAGACGGAGTCTCACTCTGCCGCCCAGGCTGGAGTGCAGTGGCGTGATCTCGGCTCACTGCGAGCTCCGCCTCCCAGGTTCATGCCATTCTCCTCCCTCAGTCTTCCGAGTAGCTGGGACTACAGGCGCCCCCTACCACGCCCGGCTAATTTTTTGGTATTTTTAGTAGAGACTGGGGTTTCACCATGTTAGCCAGGATGGTCTCGATCTCCTGATCTCAAAGAAGAGTTTACAAATTAGTGACCATCCATAAGTGAGATGCCTGGCCACAATACCATTTGAGAAGTAGTGACAGGAGCTGAGGATGTTGAACCTAGAAAGGAGAAGTTGAAGAATAGGGTAAAGATGGATTAAGGCTAGCTGTCTTCTAATGCCCGAAGGACTGTCATGACAGCATTTAGGAATTTATGGAAGGTGCAGGAAGATAAACTTTAGCTTAATATAAAGGAACGTTTAAAATAATCTAGAGCTATCCAACACAGTGAAGTAGTGAACTTCCTCAAGCTGGAAATGTAGAACAAAGGTTAGATGCTGAAGAAAAATATTTCTGCCTCACATAAGATTTTGGCAAGTCTAGCATCTCACTTGAGGCAGGAAACATTAAGTGTTCTCTAACCTTAAGTTTATTCTGTGATTCTCTTTCATTCTATAGTCCTTCAGTAATTTTACGGGCCTAAATGTTTACAACGCAGTATCAATATTATGTGCATTAATAGAATGGAATTTGTTAAAATCAGAATTATAATCTAAGGTGTTGCCAAGTTCATTCTCTTACGTTTAATTTGCTTATTTACTTTAACTGGACTGAACTGTTGAGCAGTAATTCAAAAAACACCATAAGAAGTGCTTAGGGCTGTATTGAAACTAATTCAACCTCTCTCTATGGTCCCCTTTCATACAGATAAGGAAGACAAACTGAAATGAGCTGTGAGAGTATCAGTAGCTCTGCTTGTTTCTACTGTACTATTCACAGACTTCTCAGACATTTGTTTAAAGGACCTATCGTTCAATACATATATTGCAAATTAAAGATTCAAACTAGTAAAGTGGTGGAAGGGTGTCACAGGTGAAAGTAAACTGCAGTGTTTTTGAAAGATCTCGTCCTCCACATTCTGCTCAGCTTCACCCAAAGAATGAGAAGCTTTAGTGTGCTGTCACAGAGAATTATATGGATAAAAGGAGAAAGTCTATGGAAAAATGATATTCTAATATCAGATTAGTGCTAAAGTATGCCAAGAATTAGAATATGAAAAAAATAATGTCAAATACAATTTGGAAGAAAATAAAAAATAATAATAAAAGATGGGAAAAAATACAGAAATATACACTAAAACATTTTCACAATAAAAAGTTAGGATGCCTTTGCTCTTCAGATGTTGCCAGTAAAAGCTAACATAGGAGTACTTACGATGTTGCAGGTATGGGTATAAATTCTTTATCAATTCAACTGAGCCTCATGTAACCCAATCAGGTACTTACTATTATGTTCCCAAATGAGGACACTGAGGCACAGAGAAGTGAGTAATGCATTCAAAGTCTTGCTGGTAAGCAGGTGCTAAAATTAAAATTTCACTGAGGCAGTCTGGGTCTAGTGGCCACACCCTTAACCACCATGCTATATATACTGTCATATTAATGGTTATCCTATTTGATTAAATTACTTCAAAAATCAATTATTCTACTAAATAACCATATAAAATATTAAAGTATCATTTTATATGCTTTTATATGTTTTCCACTTAAATATTATATATAACATAATTATGTAATCCACTAAGATCTCAAGTTTATTTGGTTAAGATAGCTTGATATGTTTTTAGAGGTGCTTTTAACTTATTTGACTTGTTACCAAAAATTGGAAGGGAGCACAAATGTTTAATTTGTAAATGAAATTATGATCAGACCATTGTGTACAAAATTCTTATCGAGTTTATAGTTATGATATATTTTATTGGAAATGACATATTTTGAAAATAACAACAAAGTAAAATTTGTAAGGCGATTTGTGGTATATCATATATTAAAAATGACTTTTAAAATTTGACTATAATTGAAAAACCGTTACTATATAGAGAAACATACTAGAACTACTTTATCTCAGGTGAGAGAATTGGCCCCTAATTGAAACTACACTGGCTTTATGACTCAATATTTTAGTTTCTGTATCTAAGTGAGTATACACATAAAAAAGTCTTTGCTAACTTAAATCTTGAAGTGATTTGTTTCTTCAGATATATGCCACTCTAATGCATTAGGCATGACATGAAATGTATTTTGACCTCGAATCTACCCCAGATATGAAAGATCAGGAGCTTAAATTAGGGTTAGCAAAGGTCAGAGGGAATTTATGAAAATAAAAAGAATATAAAAAGGAATATAAGTAGTATATATTACTGTGAAATGTTAAAAGGGTCTAGTATAATCTAGTTTGCATATTCAATATTCTTAAGATATTTAGGATATTTTATTGAATAGAAAATCTAACATTCTTGCTAAAATCACTTTCAGTTATGCAACAAGCTTTTGATTTTTGGGAGCAAAACCCCTAAGAAGTTAATTCTTTATTTTTTTATAGATTTATTCCATCATTTCACACTCCCTTGTGCTTTTCAATATTATAAAACTTCAATTTTCTATCCTCTGTGCCAAAATTAGTAATTTCTTCTTTATGACTCTGATTATATTTTTGCAGCTGTAAAGTCCCTTTATAAGAATAAAAAAGTAGTAACATTTTTGTTCTAGTAAGTCAGTGTCCTAATAATAGGGTAAATAGCACATATTCTAAGTCACAGTTTAGCTAGTCAGTTAAGACAAGCTTTAATTATTACAATGTTTAAACTATTGCCATGACAACACAGATATTTTTTTTCTTCTGGCTTTTTTTTTTTCTCTTTTAGAATGACAGTGATTAGTGGCTATATAGTCTCACACAAATATCCAACCAATCACAGTGCAAGTCATTTGACTGTTACTAACGCCATTCTTATCCTTGAAACCTAGTATTAGGTTGGTGCAAAAGTAATTGTATTTTTTGCTGTTGAAAGTAATGGTAAAAACCGCAATTACTTTTGCACCAACCTGCAGCTAAGGGTCTGACTGTTAGAAGGAAAACCAACAAACAGAAAGGACATCCACACCAAAACCCGATCTGTACGTCACCATCATCAAAGACCAAAGGTAGATAAAACCACAAAGATGGGGAAAAAACAGAGCAGAAAACCTGAAAATTCTAAAAATCAGAGCACCTCTCCCGCTCCAAAGGAATGCAGCTCCTCGCCAGCAGCAGAACAAAGCTGGATGGAGAAAGATTTGGATGAATTGAGAGAAGAAGGCTTCAGACGATCAAACTTCTCCTGGCTAAAGGAGGAAGTTCGAACCCATCCAAAAAAACTAAAAACCTTGAAAAAAGATTAGACGAATGGCTAACTAGAATAACCAGTGTATAGAAGTCCTTAAATGACCTGATGGAGCTGAAAACCACGGCACGAGAACTACGTGACAAATGCACAAGCTTCAGTAGCTGATTTGATCAAGTGGAAGAAAGGGTATCAGTGACTGAAGATCAAATTAATGAAATGAAGCGAGAAGAGAAGTTTAGAGAAAAAAGAGTAAAAAGAAATTAACAAAGCCTCCAAGAAATATGGGACTATGTGAAAAGACCAAATCTACATCTGATTGGTGTACCTGAAAGTGACGGAGAGAATGGAACCAAGTTGGAAAACACTCTGCTGGATATTATCCAGGAGAACTTCCCCAATCTAGCAAGGCAGGCCAACATTCAAATTCAGGAAATACTGAGAATGCCACAAAGATACTCCTTGAGAAGAGCAACTCCAAGACACATAATTGTCAGATTCACCAAAGTTGAAATGAAGGAAAAAATGCTAAGGGCAGCCAGAGAGAAAGGTTGGGTTACCCACAAAGGGAAGCCCATCAGACTAACAGTGGATCTCTCGGCAGAAACTCTACAAGCCAGAAGAGAGTGGGGGCCAATATTCAACATTCTTAAAGAAAAGTATTTTCAACTCAGAATTTCATATCCAGCCAAACTAAGCTTCATAAGTGAAGGAGAAATAAAATCCTTTACAGACAAGTAAATGCTGAGAGATTTTGTCACCACCAGGCCTGTCCTAAAAGAGCTCCTGAAGGAAGCACTAAACATGGAAAGGAACAACCGGTACCAGCCACTGCAAAAACATGCCAAATTGTGAAGACCTTCAAGGCTAGGAAGAAACTGCATCAACTAACGAGCAAAATAACCAGCTAACATCATAATGACAGGATCAAATTCACACATAACAATATTAATCTTAAATGTAAATGGGCTAAATGCTCCAATTAAAAGACACAGACTGGCTAATTGGATAAAGAGTCAAGACCCATGAGTGTGCTGTATTCAGGAAACCCATCTCACATGCAGAGACACACATAGGCTCAAAGTAAAGGGATGGAGGAAGATCTACCAAGCAAATGGAAAACAAAAAAAGGCAGGGGTTGCAATCCTAGTATCTGATAAAACAGACTTTAAACCAACAAAGATCAAAAGAGACAAAGAAGGCCATTACATAATGGTAAAGGGATCAATTCAACAAGAAGAGCTAACTATCCTAAATATATATGCACCCAATACAGGAGCACCCAGATTCATAAAGTAAGTCCTTAGAAACATACAAAGAGACTTAGACTCCCCCACAATAATAATTGGAGACTTTCACACCGCACTGTCAACATCAGACAGATCAAAGAGACAGAAAGTTAACAAGGATATCCAGGAATTGAACTCAGCTCTGCACCAAGCGGACCTAATAGACATCTACAGAACTCTCCACCCCAAATCAACAGAATATACATTCTTCTCAGCACCACATTGCACTTATTCCAGAAATGACCACATAGTTGGAAGCACTCCTCAGCAAATGTAAAAGAACAGAAATTATCACAAACTGTCTCTCAGACCACAGTGCAATCAAACTAGAACTCAGGATTAAGAAACTCACTCAAAAGCACTCAACTACATGGAATCTGAACAACCTGCTCCTGAATGACTACTGGGTGCATAATGAAATGAAGGCAGAAATAAAGAGGTTCTTTGAAACCAGTGAGAACAAAGCCACAACATACCAGAATCTCTGGGACACATTGAAAGCAGTGTGTAGAAGGAAATTTATAGCATTAAATGCCCACAAGAGAAAGCAGGGAAGATCTAAAATTGACACCCTAACATCACCATCTTATTCTTCAAATCTAGCACTGTCCAAGCACTCTACCAGAGAAAGAAAAACTTGCCCCATCTAACCTGGAACTCTGAGGGTAGCTAGATATAGTCAACATTAGTTGATGGCACTGGAATATAATGTATTAATATGGTCACTTTCAAATATTTACTACAAATAGATCCTTTCCTTCCAATAAAATCTGAGGCCAGAAGTTGACTATGTAAAGACGGAGCTGCTCTGGTTGACATGTGGTTAGAGTCCTGGAAACTCACTGGAATACGAGCAAATTCTTCCCGCCTATCAGAAGAAAGTGTTTAAAGACTTTTACAAAGAAAGAGATGACATGGAAAAAGTGTTGGACTAGAGTCTGCTACAGTTTGGTTCTAGCTTCCCTATGTAGTGAGGGCAAATTTAGGCACATCACTTAACTTGTTTGAACTTTATTTTTCTCATTTATAAAATGGTTCTTTTACAGTTTTTGAGATTAAATGATATATTATATATGACTTTCCCAATTATCACTTTTCATATTAACATTAGTTATTACTTTTATAATTCAGGATACAAGAAGCCAAAGTACATATGCCATAATGGTTTTGACAAGCTCAAATCTAGGCTTCCTGGGGATGCAGAGACAGCTCAAAGTCATTTCTATGTGAGCATGTCGTGGACCACCTCCCTGGTCTAAAAAGACCCCCTGACTTCACATCTCAGCATCTAATGGGAAACCTATATCCTCTTGCTTTAATTTGCAATGTCTTTACTATCTATTAAATTAACCTTAGATATTGCTTAAGAAATCACAGAAGAAAAGTAAAAATATCTTTAGCAGCTTTCTATTTAATAATTAAATGTTTAAAAGAAATTTATCTCTATTTTAATATTAAAATCTGCATCAGAAACTCTCATCATATATTCAGTTAGATCACCATTTCATAAAGAGGCTTGAATAGCAAGACGAAATCAAGTTTCTGGTAAACAAAGTTTTTATTCTGTTTCCTATTTTCTCCCGTTCAATTTGAAACAAAGACAAGAGTGATTCATTACACAAATATCTGAGCATATACCATGCAAAAAACTATAGGGAGAGTAAACTGTATAAAATGCCACAGTGGATTTTTTAAAATAATCCATTGACCTCTATATCCTTAATCCCTTTTTAGAATGTTTCTCACCTTATTACCTGGTAGAAATCTGGCTCTTCCCCAAGGACATCATTTCGTATGTGTTCCTCTCACATGGTGGCTGTTATTTCCCCATGGCCCTTATTCCACCAGCTTGCCAGTGAAGTAACAGTTTCCTCTTGACCCCCATTACCACTTCACACCATTCTCTTTTATTTGTTGTTGTTGAGACAGAGTCTCACTCTGTCACCCAGGCTGGAGTGCAGTGGTGTGATCTCAGCTTACAGCAACCTCCTCCTCCCTGGTTCAAGCAATTCCCTTGCCTCAGCTTCCCGAGTAGCTGGGATAACAGGAGTGTGCCACCACGCCCCGCTGATTTTTTTGTATTTTTAGTAGAGACGGGGTTTCATTATGTTGGCCAAACTGGCCTCCAAATCCTGACCTTAGGCAATCCACCCACCTCAGCCTCCCAAAGTGCTGGGATTACAAGTGTGAGCCACCACGCCCGGCCCACACCATTCTCTTTTAAGCTACCACACCCATCTCTGAAGCTCAAGTCAAGAAATCACACTTCCATTACCACTTACTGTTAGTGATCTATTGATATTGAAAACCCTTTCTATAAAGTCTTCATTATCTTAGTCTTCTGGTTCATGAACATTCTCTTTTACAACGTTTCTGCTCGAATTCCGACAATCTAAGTGTTTCTTCCAACCCTTTGGCCTCTAGGTTCAATGAACTCCTCTCTTCCAATGATGTTCTCTACTTAACCTCAGTCACTATCATGTAAATAGCCAGATTTTGTCATCATCAACAGCAAGCTCTTCACAACCACAATTTCAGGCATGCTTCCCTCTCATCAACACTTCCTACCTTTTCAGGTTCCTTTAAGATAGAAGAAATAATGGCATGCTCTTGTGCTGAGGATACTAATAAAATAGAGAGGGAGAAATAATAATGCAAGCATCAGAGAGGAGGATTCTTAGAAGTGACAGGAGGTAAAATGGGATCTAACCTGAAAGTGGAGGGATTCGTTATAGATAGGAGCATTGATAGTTAATGTACTATCCATCAGGAAGGCAAGTATATGGGATAGATCCTGGTAAGAGGGTTGATGATGTGGTGGGAGCCTGTGGAAGGTTTCTGCCATTTGCTTCAATTTTCTTAGTAAAATGGGAAGTAAGGTAATTAATTAAAACTGAGAAGAGGAAGAAGGTGATAGAAGTTTGAAAAAAGTGAGAAGGTATAAAATGGTGTGGTTTGAATGTCCCCTCTAAAACTCACATTGAAACTTAATCCCTGATGTGGCAGTATTGAGAGGCAGAGCCTGTACTGTAAGATATGACTAGGGCATAAGGGCTCTGCCTCATGAATGGATTAAATCCATTCATGAATCAATGGATTAATGAGTTAATAGATTTGTGGATGATCTCGGGAGTGGAGCTGCTGGCTTTATAAGAAGAGGAAGAGAGAGCTGAGCTAGCATATTAGCATACTCTGCCCCTTTGCCTTGAGATGGTCTGCACCACCTTGGGACTCTGCAGAGTCCTCACCGGCAAGAAGACCCTTGCCAGATGTGGCCCCTCAACAAGGGACTTCAAAGCTTTTCTAACTGTAAGAAATAAATTCATTTTCTTTATAAATGATCCAGCTTCTGGTATTCTGCTATGAGCAACAGAAAATGTATCAACACAATAGTCTTGTGACTCTCAAAAGATTGAGAGGGAAAACAGATTGCTGTGCAGCATTAGCTAGCTAAATGAGGAATGTGGTCATGAATTTCAAGTGGATCCATGAGAGTTGTTTATATTTTTTCCAGTCATACTCATTTGCACATGTGCAAGTGTAGAGATGACAGAGCAATGAATTCAGCTAGGGCTGTGGTTTTGCCCTGCAAATACAAAAATAAAAAGCAACAAGAGAATTGAGGGTGTACACAAGAGAGTGGCTCTGATTGACCATGGAATTGAAACTAAGAAGGAAAAAAAATAATATCAAAGATATAGGAATTATGACATAGTGACAGAATCAATGGATTGGAGGTTTTGGTGAGTTGGAAGGGTTGTCTGAGTTGGGATGTAAAGTTAAAAGAACTTGCTATTCACCCTACTTTCTCTTTGCTGCTCTGTTTCTCTAACATATTTGCAGCAAAACTCTTTGAAAGAGTTGAGGACAGTATATTCACTGTTCAAATTCTATTTAAACTTACTCTAATCAGCTTTTCATATACTGTACCACAATCGCTCTTGAAAATGTGAACAATGTCTCCCCAACATTGCTAAATTCAAACAGGTCCATTCACAATCCTCATCCCACCCGGGCTTAGCACACTCCTCTGACAGCTACTCTCTCCTGGGAGCTTACTTACTCTCCTCACTTGGCTTCCAGGTTCCGCCCTCCCAGCTTCCCTCCTACTTTACTAGCCTCTACTTCTCAGTCCACTTGGCTGTTCCTAACCTCTCAACGCTCAGAAATTTATCCTTTTTCTTCTTTTTCCCATCTACTCTCAACTATTTGATGATATCATCTCCTCGCTTAGGACATAATCTACATGCTGAGGATCCCAAATTTATATATGTATCACAGATTCACTTCAGAGTTCCAGAGTCATTACCTGGTTGCCCACTGAACTTGTCCACTTAGATTTCTAACAGAATCTTTAAATACCACAGGTCCGGATCTCCTCTTCTTGCCTCTCTAACTCACTCCATTCACAGTCTCATCTGTCTCAACTTGATTTTCCCAGACGCTCGGTCCAAAATCTTCAAGTCATTTTTGACTCTTCTTATTTCACTCACATGCCCCAGCTCATCTATCAGGATGGTCTGTTTCTTACACCCTCAAAATATATCCAGTCAGTTCTCATGAACATTATTAACTACCACTTCCCTGGTCTGAAACACCATCACCTCTGGCCTGGATTAGAGCTTCCTTAGTGGACTTTCTGCTTCTATCCATGTGCCTTCCTCAATGTCTATTTTCAATACAGCAGGCAGAATCATCTTTTAAAAACAGGTCATGCTACTCTTTTGACTTAAAACCCTCTAGTGGCTTCCCATATTACTCAGAGTAAAAGTCAAAAATAATGTAGCCCCCTCTACCTCTGCTTTTTCTCCTGGATTTCTCTTGGTGGGAACATGTAGCACGGGTTCTAGCTTCAGGGCCTTTGCAGTGCCTGCCTCCTCTACATAAAAAGCCCTCCCAGACTCCTCAAGGCCCACCTCTCTACCACTTTTGAGTCTTTGCACAATTTACCTTCTCAGCAAGATCTGTCCTGGCTACAATGTTTAAAATTACAACACTGCCTCCCATTCAGACTTTCCAATCCCTTTATTTTGTGCTATTATTTTCTGTAGGACTTATTACCTTGTAATACATCATATAACTTATAAGAATGTGTGTGTGTGGGGGGACTTTTGACAGTTTTGTGCCAAATGTGTATCAAATTTCAAGAAAAATGTCTATGACATAAGTGTTCAATAAATATTGTTGAATAAAGAAAATATTTTCTCTGAAAAATTTAGCCATGTGACTAAATAGCAATTGAATAATAATAATAAAAGCTAGAGAAACAACTGGTTTTCTTCTCAATTATTTAAAGAGATAGCTAAAATCCCTTCAGTAATTTACCTTTATTCTGTTCAAAGAATTTACAGGCAATTGGTTCTTTAATAAATTTAATGAAATAAATGTTCAGTTATTCTGAACTTAAAACCTTCAGATTATGAGAATAACATACTGCCTACTGTGCTAAGGAGGCAATTCAGTTATTCTCAAAATACTTACCTTGACTTCTCTCCATGTTTAAAAAAATATGACATAAACACCATAAAAAGAGATGATAAGCAATTGCTTTTGATCTAGCATATATTTAAATGAATGTATATGAAGTAATTAGCTTGGAAAATACTTCTTCATAGCTTCTGATCTACAGATAACGTTCTGAGAACATATTATATTACAAGAAAAGAAGTAAATATAGACTGAAGCCTTAAACATTAAAAAATTCTCAATAATAACTGGTCAAAATAATAAATCCAAGAACTTATTTTTTAGTATTACTTGATTCCTAGAAGGTCATGTGACCATAATTCTAGCTCTGGATCTCTATGCTCAGTGTGCAATTTTATACCTTCCCCTTACTTTGTAATATGTTTCTGACTCTCATGAGCTTACCTCCTGGTGAGCTCAGCTAGGTTTTGGAGAAAAATAGTGATAGCTCTACAACCAGGTTCATGTACCACTCTTGATGACACTTCATCTGTGTCTCCACATCTCCTCGACCTTACTGCAAATAGTGTATTGAAATTACCTGTTTTCAGATTTGTCTTTCACTCTCCAAGACTTTCTTCTAAATTGTGGTCTTTATTATGGCAGAGAGTATTATTCATCTTTTAATGTATTTCATCATAAACATTTACTAGGAACTAAGAAAATGTCTGCTGGAGTTTGTATGAAAATAATTTACCCTAAGATTCCTGTGACTAATAAAATCAAACTTCCCAAGCATTTATTCACATTATGTAGAAGACTAGGAGGCTGAGGTGAGAGGATTGCTTGAGGCCAGGAATTCAAGACCAGCTTAGGCAACACTTTGAGACCTCATCTCTAGAAAAAAAAATAAAAAATAATTAGCTGGGCCTGGTGGTGCGTGCCTGTAGTCCTGGCAACTTGGGAGGCTGAGGCAGGAGGATTGCTTGAACCTAGGAGCTCAAGGCTGCAGAGAGGTATGATCATGCCACTGCACTCCTGCCTGGGCAACAGAGTGAGACTCTGTATCAAAACAACAACAACAACAGCAAAAAAGAACCAAATCAGTGTTTGCGTATAAGACAATATTTATAACTACCAGAAAACAAACTTCAAATTTCAATCATTTTGTAAGGATGTGACTCTGGCCTTAGTTCAAAGAGTCATCTCTTTTCAGAAAAGAAGCAAGTGTGTACACCTAATACATTTCTTTCATGAAGGGAATTATTTAACCACCTCAATTTCCTGCAAAGCATGTTTTATGAACTTCTATTTCAGGGAGACAGATCTCAGGTCTTTCCATTGATCTGGGCAAGTGTTTCTCCTTGATACCCTAGCTAGCCATATATCTTTTAAACTCTCCCTTTTTATAATATCCCATTTTTCATTTCTTACAGTGTTTTAGCATAGATAATTTCAATTTTTGCTATCTTTTCAGAGAAATTTAATTTTTTAAAAACATTCTTACAGTAAAGTTAACTATGGAGTCTCATTTTATGTATTTTTACATAATTCTTAATTTTTCTTATAATAATGCACATTAAGCGTTCTTTTGGATACTATGCATGATGATTTTAAGCATTACGCTTCTAATCAACCATAGCTAATTGTAAATATTGTAAATTCATCAGCACATATAAGTCAGTGATTTCTTCCCATGTACATTTTCCTGTTTTTGTTTCATGTTCAATTTGTTCTGCTATTACAGTTCCTAATTATTTTCAATAGGTACTTAGAGTCCTAAAGGTGATAAATCTATATAATTCCTCATCCTCAACAAATTATTTTGCCAGTTACTATTCACCTCGTCTTTACGCCATTAATAAATTCAAAGAAAATTGGTTCTCATACTCATCTGTGAGAATACTATCATTAACCTCTTTCTAATAGGAACACAGTGTTATCTCACCACTCATCATCTCGTGTGGCTTTTAAAGATGATGTATTTAAAAAGGCAAAATGAAGTGGAGGATGATCAATCAATCAAAAGCATTCAATTGACACTTATGTGCCTACACAGTGGTGGAATAGGAGGGCATAAAAGTGGGTTACACACGCTTAGATGCTGAAAATTTAGCATCTAGTTTGGAAACAGCTGGAGCTCAATATTAAGATAGAAAATAATTGCTAGATTGTAATTACAGCTTTAAATAATAAAGGATAATAGTTAATAATTGGGCAGAGAAAGTGGACTCTCAGATGCATTTTTCTTAAAGATCTTGTAGTACATAAAAACGAGGTTGTTATTCCACACAAGGAAAGCAGCATGAACAAAAGCACAGAGGCAAAGAGAGTCAGATCTTTAGGAGGATGGTAAAAAGACCAAGTGCCCTTCTAGTGAGCAACCATGGAAGATCAGTAAGATAAACAAGATGAGGTCATTGAATTCATTTATTGATTCTTTCAATTCAGTAAGTTCACTTTGAGTTCCTACAGTGCTTTGTTAAGGCATCAAAACTTAAAGTATTAAAAAAAAAAACTTAAAAAAAAAGCAATATAGAAGTGAATACGGCTGATTTTCTGCCTAAGAAAGCAGCATAGAACTCTATATGTGGGGGTATATGGAACCAAAATGCTAATGGTAGCTTGGTATAATCATAGTATAACAGCTTTAATGACTTTTAAAAGATTTGGACTAGACATGGAATTACTGAAGTGCCACTTAATGTTTTTTTACAAGGGATCTTAGATTTTCCTTTACACATTTTCATGTTTCTTTTTGTTGTTGTTTTCTATTTCCTGATTTTTATTACACTTGAACATAATAAAAATTACAAAGTAGATGTCTTCTCCTACAGTCTGTCTTGTAAAGTGTTGCCAAGTGAATTATCCTAAAACATAACACTTACCCACAGAACTCCTCTGCTACAAATATTTTTTTTTGACAAGAGAGACTCTGAACATGTTGGCCATGATTTCAAGGTTTCACTATACTTCAATTTCAGCTGATTTTATCTTCCATTATTCCTTCACTTTACTCTATTTTTTGATCACAGTACCTTATCTGCTGTTTTCTTAGCAAAATTTCCTACTCCATGATTTTTCAAATAAAATATTTCCATCTAGAATGCACATCCTCTCCCAATTGCCACTTATCTGAATTTCCAGTTTCCTTCAACTCGGCTTAATGGCTCTTCTCCATGCCTTAGCTGGAAATAATGTCTCAATGTTCTGAATTCCACATTCTCCATCACATAGCTGGCACTTGTAATTCCTTATATTGGTATTACATGTATTGTCTCCACATTATATTATAAATTTACAGAAATTGTCACAGATCCTTAGAGTTTTTGGAGTAGAAAGAGTGAAAGATACGTTGACTATACCCAGGATTAAATATATGTTGAATAAGGTTATTGGATGAATAAACAATCAATCAAGATGACACTTGAAGAATATTAGTAATGAAGAAATACACAAATGCCAGCTGGGTTGTTTGGTTGCCTGGCAGGCTGATAGGGCAAAATGTCCACGTACTTGAAAAAGGAGATGATAACTTGAAAAATGTGGGAGTTTCCAGCAATGCTGCTAACTTCTAGGCCCATCAGGATGCTATTTAAATACAGAGACAAGTAAAACTTGAAAGACTATGATGTCTGAGCCAAATTATAAAGGAGTCCCAACAGACTGGAGCTGGGGCATACTAATAAGGTGAGGAAACAAAGTATTAAAGTTAAATTCAGTGTGTGTGTGTGTGTGTGCATCTGTGTGTGTTATGTGTGTGTGTGTGCGTGCCTGTGCATGTAGGTTTGATTTTGCTACATCTCAGTGAAAAGTTGGCATTTGAGCAGAATAATTTGATTTATAATAATGTACCCTTGATCTCTGTGTTCATGTGGACTACCTAATGAACTCAGCAATTTCCTCTTCCTCTCTCTATAAAGGTAATTTCTAGTATGATGAAGTAATTAATGTAGATAAGGGTTTTGAGAACTAGAAATAATCATGTTTTCTGCAAGGAATTCATCCCAAGGCTAAACAAGTTCAAATAATGACTCTAGTCATTCATGATATTCATATACAATTCCAGATTTTTAATTGAGTATGATGAACAGGAAGATGCTGTTATTCTCCAGCCTTCAAACTACCTGTCCTAAGCATACTTTGTAACCAACATATTTAATTGCAGGAAAACTACATCCCTTTGGCGTTTATGCTTAATATGTGTTCATCCATCTGGATAAATTTGAATTCTTACTCTTCCCAGCTGCATGACTTCAGGCAAATTTTTAAATCTCTCTGGGTTTCAGTTAACTCACATGTCATGGGGATAATTAATAATACTTACTTCATGCAGGTTGGTGAAGGATTATCAGGAAGGGTGCCTTGGCATAGTGACAAAATTGCAAGTGCTCAAAATTCTTTTCTTCTTCTTCTTTCCCCAACCACTCATATAAACAATGAAAGTCAGAGGCAGGTGAAATGATTGATATAAAAGTTCTAGCAAAACTCTGAATGTGTGTTGCAGTTTTTCCTCTTACAAAATATCAGATATATACAATCTAACTTTTATGATTTTAAGGTTGAAATTTTTATGTTTTTCTGATTTGTTCAATTTCACATAATTACTGAGAAATTCATAGCTAGCAAAAAGAAGTCTTTGCTCACGTGTTTTCATTCTCCTCTAGCTAGGGATAATCAAATAAGTGGTCTCTATACTCAACAGGTAATATTTTGGAGATAGTATTTTGTTTTTCTGAGGTTCCAAAAAAACATTGATTACCTGAATTTGTCTTCATTGAGTATCCACATATAATCTGTACATATCAACTAAAGAGTTGAATGATTCTGAATGCTAAGCTAATATACATTCACAGTGGTTAGTATTCTTAAAATGTTTTGCAGATTAATTGAAGATTTTTACCTTGAAATTTCTGAGTGTCTTAAGTCTTCGTGGCTATAAGATATCATATGTGGCCAAAGTTTTCCGGGATGGTAGTGATAATCAAGTAAATACATGAGGTAATTTTAAAGCAGTTTTCCCCTATAGGTATAGCGAGACCAATGTCTTGGAAAAAAGGAAGTTCCTCCCAAAGACATTTTTTCCCCTATTTGTAAAACATGTAAAAAAAAGTGGCTTATTGGACAATTATTTTATAGTTCAATAAATATATATAATTCAATAAATATATAGTTCAATAAATATAAAAATTAACATGGATATTTATTGAGTTACATTACATAAAGATCATAAATAAGAAAATTTAAAATGAGCCTAAATGTCATTGCTCAGGAAAACTTGTCAAAATAAACACAAAATATGAGGCATTCCTTAGTTATAAAATTTAAGTAGCCTAGAAAAGTGTAACATGAAAAAGACACTTCCATCCCTCCTCCTTATCTCAAAGTTCCTTATCTCAAAGGTAATAATTATTCTTACTTATCCCTCTGGAATACATTTAAGTAAGAAGTGGATTTATTTGTAGATATAATTCTCCCATTTACACAAAATACATATTGAATAGCCTTTCAATTCTAGTAACCAATATGACCCAGTTTTTCAATTTGATAGATTTCTAAACCCTTAAAAGTATTACCATGTTGGAAAACATGGATGCGTCTTCGGTTTAGAGAGATAAAAAGGTAAGATTAGGAAGTCAATCAGTTTGCAGGAAATAGCAGTTACCTCTCAATAAGAGACCATTGATTTTACCCTGCCCTAGAATAAAACTAGTTGCTACTTTTGGCAACCCGAGAAAAATTGCTAACATGCCATTTGTTTTAAGAACTGATGCCTCTACTTAGCAGAAAAAAATGCCTCTTTATAGGAATCATTTTTTCCTTTACAGTTAATACAATTAGAATATACTGCGGTTAATTATTTTCAACAAAGTTTTGTTGACTTTCCCAGGCTGAGTTAAAATGTATTTCCTTAAGGAAGTCCTCTTCCTCCTCCTTTTAATGTACACTCCTCCATATGCCCATGATATTTGGCCTCTTGTGGAACTTATACTTTGCCCAGTGTAAGAATCTGGTCTACATGAGCTCAAACACAAAATGAAGTTTCATGTTTTTGGTATATGTGTTAAACAGTTGCAGACTAAATATGAATCTGTTAGTTGTGATTGTGAAATTCTAGATGATTTCTGATTGTGTAGAGCCTCCACGATATGCATTTCAAATGGCTTTCTTAATATTTATTGGTCGAATCAAATTAAGTTGGAAGACTACAAGTAGCAGCTATCAACTAATGATATTTCAGTGGAAAGAGTTTAATAATAATCTGTAGTTACACGATTTTACTGAGACCTCACATTCTGCTAAGCCCCTTTCATGGTCCTGCTCCCTATTTGGCTTCTTTGTCCTTAGTTTCTCTCTCTCTGCCCCTATGTACTCTGTCCTACCCTTTCTCTCTTTATTTAATTATCTATTTCCTATGTCTTTCCCATTTCTCCTGTTTCTCTTTTCTCCCAACTAAAGTTTTTCTCTCTTATGAAATTTCACACACACACACACACACACACACACACACACACACGCACACACACCAGTTTTATATATTTAATCTTTCCTTACCGGGTTGATGACGTAGGCTCAGTAATTTGTCTTTGCACACGTGCATGTTTAATTAAATGTTCTTTTAAAGCAGTTTGGACTTCTGCTGGGATGTCAGGGGAAGTGTGGCTGATTTTTATTGCAGGCTCAATAGCTTTTACGGCTGGCTTTTCATTTTCCTTAATTTCTTTTTTCTCTTCAGTCTCAAAAACTTCAGTAGGAGCACTTGAAATGCTCTGTGGAAGCGTAGTGATGTTGGAAGTCACAGGTTTGCTTTTCCAGCATGGCCAACACAGCTTCCAGAAGACAAAAAGTGAGACAACCAACAAGGCCAGTCCACAAAAGCTGACAACGACAGCTAACAGGCTGACTGAAATATCTGGAAAAATTACAATGTAAAAATGATTAATTAATATTGTACATAAAAAAGCAGAAATGGAAAGAATATTTTACATCATAATTGTTATTATTTCCTGATTCAGAATTTCAAAAACTCAATTTTAAGTTATCTTTGTAGGAAGAAAAGGTTAATAATCATTCCTGGAAATTCTCAAAGGAGGTACTTGAAAAGTTCTACCCCAGTAAAAATTCTAATTATATACAGGAAAATTACGATGTATGCATATTATTTCCAAGTACACTATGATGGGTTCAAGATTTTGCAAACAAGGATTGAAAAACTGCAACCTGCCATGAAGCCATGAGGCAAGAAATTCTAAAACTGCACACAATAGGAAACTCTTGTTTGCTTCATCTTTGATCTAAAGATGCAAGCTTCTCATTCTCTAGGCAGAGAATCATATTAAATATTTCTGTAAACGGTTTTCAACAGTATAAATGAGAATAACACATTACTAATAGAGAATGAGACACTATTAGTTACATTTTTCAACCTCCATAGATTCTTTCTGATAATTTTGTATTATTTTTGTTTCTAATTTCTCTTAATTTCTTAAGTCCTAAATTAATTAATGAATTGTGCTATGGCCTGAATTTTTGTATCACTCCCAAAATTCATATGCTGACATCCTAATCCCCAAGGCCATGGTATTAGGAGGTGGGACTTCTAGGGAGGGCATTAGGTCATGAGGGAAGTCTTCATGAGTAGGATTAGTGTTCTTATAAAGTAGGCCAAGGGTGCTCTTTCGCCCTTCTACCATGTGAGGGCATAGCAAGAAGGTGTCATCTATGAACCAGGAAATGGGCCGATGGGACTAGCACAGGCATTCTCCATAGAACTTGACCCTGTACATTTTACAATATAGAGAAGCAGAAAATTTTTGTTTCCTGAAGATGTCAAGCTTTTTCCTCAAAGAAGGGAGAAATTGATGTATCATTTCTTAAGGATGGGGGTGGGTCAAGATTCCATCATAATTACAGTGTTGTAGCTCCTTGCATCCAGAGACAAGGCATGGGAGAAAGAGAATTCTGCTTAATAGAAAACAGTGCAAGAAGTTAGATTAAGTAGAATTTTATCCTGAAAAATAAAACGAAAATTATGCAAACAAGCTTATTGTATTTTATTTATGTTTTGCATTGCTTGCCATAGCAATTATGACTAATCATTAATAGTATTAAAAATGAAATCAAGTGCTTAATGTGTAGCTCTTCATGACATATTTTTCTCCCAATAACAAGCCTTGTTTAACAAAAGAAAAATAACCTATCAAAAGATTAAGTGAGGATCTAGGAGAATTTATAAAGTCATCAAAAAATTTTAAATGACTTTTTCATGTTTGTGATTCATTTAACTATGACATGAAGTACACTATGAGTTAGGATTTAATTCAAAGAAAAATGAGTAATCCCAGAAACATTTTAAATCAAGGTGTTGAAATGAAAATATGCATTTCAGAACTAACATTTTGACTAAGGAGAAGATAGAAGTGAAGGCAAGACTGGAAGAGGAAACACTAGTTAATAGATTACAAGAGCTATCCATGTGAGAGACTAGTGGTTCTGAACCAGGGTTGCTGAAATGGGAAAGAAAAGATTCCAGAGAACATCAAAGCTCTAGTGAAGGAGAGTGAAGATTAAAAAGGACAAGAATGTGACTCAGTTTTGCTCGTACTGAGTTTGAAGTACTTATGGTCATGCAAGTAGAAATTTTGAGTAGGCTATTGGTCATGCATAAATGCAACTTAAATAAATTGCAACTAATTTAACTTCCTTAAATAGTGGGATCTGAATCCATAGAAGATAAATGTTCCTCAACAGAATCCTGAGTACAACAATATTTAAAGAGAGTTTCAAGGCATAAGAAACCTGCACAGAAGAATGGAGAAAAGGAGAAAGAAAGATATGCAAAAAAATCAGGTCAATGGGTATTCACAGAAGCTGGGAGAATATTTTAAGAAATGATAGTGTAAATCATTAAAATAAGTTCAATTAAAACAAGAGTTGAGAAGTGACCATTAACTTTAACAAGTATATCTTTAGTGAATTCTATGAGACCAGTGAAGCAGATGTTGTGTTAACCAGATTACTGTGGATTAAGAAACGACTGGCGGCCAGGCGCGGTGGCTCCCGCCTGTAATCCCAGCACTTTGGGAGGCTGAGACGGGCGGATCACGAGGTCAGAAGATCGACACCATCCTGGCTAAAGCGATGAAACTCCGTCTCTACTAAAAATACAAAAAATTAGCCAGGCGTGGTGGCGGGTGCCTGTAGTCCCAGCTACTTGGGAGGCTGAGGCAGGAGAATGGCGTGAGCCCGGGACGTGGAGCTTGCAGTGAGCCGAGGTTGCGCCACTGCACTCCAGCCTGGGTGACAGAGTGAGACTCTGCTTCAGAAAAAAAAAAAAAAAAAGACTGGCAGTGTGGAAATGGACTCTGTGAGAGTAGATAATTCCTTCAGGAAATTATACCTAGGGAAGGAGGAGAGAGGGAGCAATAACTACAGCAGCACGTGGAGTTGATGAAGGTGTTTTCATTAGGATTTGCAATACTTCAGCATGCTTCAGAATGGTGAGAAGGAATCAGTGGACAAGAATGGATAGGCAATTAAGCGGAATAATTAACAGTGAAGTCCCATAAAAGGTGACAATGGATGAGATCTGAAGCAAAGATCAAAGAATTGGATTGCTTCTTTCTTTGTAAGAAAAAGAGAATAGTTCTGGATGCCAGTAAGGTTATAGGTCTCGAGGCAGGAAGTCAAGTGAATTCTTGTTTATAACTATATTTTTCTCTCCAAAGGAGGAGTTAGGGTTAACTGTCAATTATGTTGGAATATTTGGGAATAGTTTGGGATATTTGAAGAGCATGAGAAAAGTTTGAAATAAGAACTATAGAGAATAGGAGAAACTTGAATAGGAAAACATTAGATGCCTGGTCAGAATATACATTTCTTTCAAAATTGGAGACCAATAAAGTGATACTAGTCTGCCTGGTTTTAAAATCTTCTAAATATTCAGCAGCTTTGGTGTAGGGGCAAAGAGACAAATAAATGCATCCATGCATAAGGTTTTTGGTTTGTTTATTTTTCCAGAAGAATGTGATAGACCTCAAAGGAGAGAGTGTATTGGGCAGATAAAATGATGCATCATAAGTATGACGTCATACTTACTGAAAGAAAATTCAGAGATAAATAAAAAGTTAATAGACTGGAGTTTCTAAATGAGAAAGATGAACTCATAGGAGATTTTGGTTGGGGATCGAAATATTTGGATTTACAATGCTATGGTAGTATTGTTCACCATAATGACAAGGGTTTGAGTATGATCATAAAAGAAAAGAGGTAAGTTGAAGTAGAGAAGATCACCGGAGGAAGGTGGCCAATCACTGGGAGGCCAGGGAGATGAATCTGAATGTCCTGGCTTTTCTACACAGGCTTTCAAGTTACCCATTCCAACGGGCAAACTTGATGACTAGGCTCTCTAGCTCTAATTTTCACTGTCTCCGGATAATTAAAAAGAATCCATTACATAGCATTCATCCTATCATATCTGGAAAGATTAAGAGCTAATGAAATAAACAGAAATTAGATTAGGCTCTGAGATAATTAGGTTTAAAATTGCTCGAACTCTGGTTTGATTACATACACATGCATAAACATTATTCTGCCACTGTCTATATGTCTGTCGGTCTGTCTGACTATATATCTCTAACTAATTTTAGTCAGAAACATTTTACTCTTTTATCATGTTTTAATATCCCAAAATAAAGTGACATAGTTCAGAAAAACTGAGAAAAAGATCACTGTCATCAGAAAATACAGGGAACTTCTAAAATGCGAATTCGTCAGAAACTTTTAGCATAGCAGAACTTTGCTAAAGTCTGTATAACCAGGCCATAACATTTGCATGATCTTGTCCACTGAAACTTATAAATACTGCTAGGTCCAATTACCTACTACCCATGCAGCTAACATGATCATGCAGAAAAGCACAGGCCAAGTGTCCTGTTCTCAATTCCAATTTCTGCATGATCATGCAATTACTACTGCTTGAATTGATATTCTCCTCTGTGTCTATCTGTATCTTTTTAAAAATTTTAAAATTCTAGTTCATTTTTAATTTTTCAAAATGTACAAAATGTACAAAAATGTGATTTCCAATAATTAATCATAAATTAATATAATTTAGTTCATCGGTATTCCAAGCCCTTTGTTTCTTTCCTGCTTCCTGTTGTTGCCTGACCACAGTCCATATTTGCTTATGGCACCATTTCATAGAGAAAGAGGGGGAATAAAACTCAAATCAGCAACTCTTAGTCAAAGATGAAATTTTGGGATTATCTTTGAAGTTAATTTATTTATACTATTCATCTGATATTACCATTATAATAATTAGGGCATGCTTCTGATTTCTGTAACAAGGGACCAAATTAATAGTGACTGAAACAAGATAGTTTATTTCTCTCTCATGTGAAGTGAGACTGTCCCAGCATAAACAGGCCACGGCAGATTTATCAACTCTAAGGTGCCTGGAATTCTGGTTTGTTTTACATTTTTGCTCTACTATTCAAAGGTCTTTGCTTCTCTTTGAAGTCCAAGATGGCAAGCTACTACGTCCATATTTCAGGCAGCTGGATGGAAGAAGAAGATGGAAAAAGGGAAGGTGAGGGTATGTCATTTCATTTTAAAAGTACAAATTTGAAGTTGTGCACATCATTGCTAACTTCCCAAGGGTCAGGACTTAGTCATGTGGCTATACCAAACTGGAAAGAGACTGAAAAATGCTCTTTTAAAATTTTTTATGCTGCCATATTCTTAAGAAAAATAAGAGATCCTATTGCTGTGAAGTAGAAGCGGGAGATGAATACTGGGAAGCAACTAGTAGTCACTTTCTCATCTATAAATCTAATACATAATATCATCAATCAACAACAATCCTTGCACATTGCCTCTTATAATGTCCATTTTAAATTTATTGACCTTTGCCTTTCTCTTGAATTTCAATAAATGATAACAATTACATTAATTGTAATTATTTAATTTAATTTAATATTTAATCCATTATAAAATACATACTTTAAAACATTTTGCATTTTTGAAATCAGAATGTTATCTTAGTATTGACGGCTTGTTACAATAGCTAACAGCTAAGCAGTAATTGTGTCATAATTTTTGTTATTTGTGTATGCGCTAAAGCAAAAGCATCAGCATCAAAATTCATAGAATAAGTCCAAGTGGCTTATAAGAGAATATTGAAGAAAATAGTGAAGCACATCCTTCAACCTTATAAGTCAAATTTTTGGAAATGGGTGGTGAAGGTGGTGAGTCAGATGTATTTAGAAACACTGCCAACATCCCACATATTTGCACAGTTAGCTTTAGAGCACAGTACCCTTGGCCTGTATATCTTTTATGAATTATGTTAAGAAAAAATGCATCATTAACACTTTTTATGGCATAGAATATGATAATGTGTGGAAAAACAAGGACATCATTAATTCTGAATCAAAAAGCCACTCAGAAGAATCAGACTCAGAATTTTAGTTTTAAAATTACTTTAACCTATTTCTTTTATGTTTTCCTTCCTATATTTGTGTCAGAGTGATATAAGATTTCTTTAAAAGTCTAAGTTTTAAAAGAAGTATTTCTATACATATAAAATAAAAATTCCATGTGATTAAAAAGCATTGTGCCATAGTTTATTTGGCAACATTCTCTTTCCTTTCTTGGTGCCACATAAAATAATGGTGCATCTTATAATCAAAGGCATCTTCGATTTGATAAAACGTAGTACCAAATATGGTATTCAAATATCTAAATTTATTAAAAAGCTTTACATATGCTCATAATTGAGTAAATTATTTATAATTGGTGACTGTATATTACTCATATATTTACATTAACTTGAACATCACACATAGCATCACATACATTTAATTAATGGCTCTAGTACACTTAATGCTTGGCACAGTGGCTTTCACATAGTAAGCGCTCAATAAATATTGCTTGAATAAAAGCATGATGTTAAAACCACTTCTCAGGTACATTAACAGCTTATATTGTAAAATATTTGAAATTATAGGCTCTGAATATTGTTTTGTCCATTAGTCCTATAAATCCATGACTACTAAAACATCACTAAGGGAATAATATTAATAAATACTGAAGAGAAAACAATAGTCCTTGTTTAATTAAGACAATATTGTGGTATGGACAAATTGACATTTACAAGGTTTTAAAAATTGACTGTCATGTTATCTAGTCAACAATGGAATAATAAATTAGACAGTAGATCATAACATACATCAAGGTCCATCTAAGGAAAAAAAGTCATTAATATCGGTTCCTTTCTATTCCCCTTAGGATGATTCCCCCCTTCTGGCTCCAAGCCCATTACAGCACAATTCCATAAAGAAACAAACGTGTAAAGAGTTTTATTAATTTCTGGTAATAAACCCATAAGAGCTTCTACTTTTTTTCCCCAATAGTCTATGTGAGGCATGTTGATGCCAGCTCTTATAGCTTCAGTGACTACTTAGGATGTATTTAACATTATGAAGAAAAAGAAAATTACCCTATAAAATAATAAAAGAAGCCATCTCTTTAGTCAGGAATTCTGTTTGTAAACTTGGTCAGTGTTAGATATTCCACCAACAGAGGAAATTGGCATTGTGCCAGTTAGACAAAAGACCTATAATAATAACACTCCTTATCTGAAGGTTCAGTTTGATAGATTCATACTAATGATGCCCTGAGATTTTTGAGTGGGTGACTCTCAGCTCTTTTTCAGTCACATTTTGTCTCCAATGCCTCATAGTACTGAATTTTAATAGTATACACTGTTAATTACTTCACTTGACCAAAATATGGTAGGAAAATACAGCACACAAGATTTTAATGAATTATTTTTTCTAATTACAAATTAACAAAAACAATGTAACTGGTAATTTAATATCTGTTTTCACTACAGACTAATTTATAAACATATGAAAGGAACTATATTTAGGATTATATGCGTTCAAAGTCGTGCATTTCAAACACACTAAAAATCTTTTATGTGATTTTACAGTTGACACAAATCAATTATATTTGGCCAAGAATATGTAAACACCTACTCGTGTACACTGAAGTACACATGTGTGCATAGTCAAGTAAGAAAAATGAAAAACACTGCTTGTTATATTTGGATGATAGAAAATCTAATAGAAAGGTTTGAGATATGGGTCATAATTGCACACTAAGAAATTTTATTGGCCAGTAATTATAGCCAATAATGTAATAATATTAACAGCTTATCTTCACAGACATTTTTTCCAATGCCCTTCAGCGCCAAGGACGCCCCCAGAATCTCCTCTTCCTATTCCTACTCTTTGTTAAACCTAGGCTAAAATCTAAGAAGCCCTGGTTTCTTAGCCTATCTCCATCACTAACTAGTGATGATTTGAAGGGAGGTTAAATTTCTTTGCCTTAGTTTTCACATCTGCAAAGTGATGATTCCTACTTTCAACTGGAATGATTAACAGCAATTTGAATCATGAGATAGTTACTTTTCTCCTGCCACTTTCTACTTAGCACACTAACATGCTTTCCTTTTACTGCCATACATGAATATATTGAACAGAGATTCTAGAACTTGTAGACTCAGTGCTTTATGCAACACTTACAAATTTAGCCATGGAATTACAGATCCAGTTGAACACACTCTGAAGAAAATCAATGGATACCTATATCAAGTTCAGTTGCTTTTTCATGAGTATATTGCTGACTGAATTCTAGCTTTTTAATGTTGTAAGTGCTCTAATTTCTGCTATTATCATAAACTAGATATTTTGTATGTCTATATAGGATATTGTATTAGATACTGGTGACACAAAAATACAGATGTATACAATTTAGTTGCAGAAGAGATTTGGAGGTTATTAAGTAAGACTCATTATCTTACAAATAATAAAGTTGAAGCTTCTTGATAATAAATCCCTTGATTCATTCATTCATTTAAAAAATATTAATTGGGCCAGGTGCAGTAGCTCACGCCTGTAATCTCAGCACTTTGGGATGCAGAAGTGGGCGGATCACCTGAGGTCGGGAGTTGGAGACCAGCCCGGCCAACATGGAGAAAACCCCCGACTCTACTAAAAATACAAAATTAGCTGGGCGTGGTGGCACATGCCTGTAATCCCAGCTACTTGGGAGGCTGAGGCAGGAGAATCGCTTGAACTTGGGAGGCGGAGGTTGTGATGAGCTGAGATCCCGCCATTGCACTCCAGCCTGGGCAACAACAGTGAACCTCCATCTCAAAAAAATAAAATAAAAATAGTAAATAAATAAAGTAGCTAGTATGAACCACAGATTTTTCAAGGCACTGAAGATAAAACAATAAACAAGCCCCTGACCTCAAAGAGCTGACATGCTATTGACTTAATGTGTACAACGTTAGTGGAATAAAATGTAGATTGGGAAGAATATAATCACATGTTCAAAATAGAAATGATTTTCATTGGCATTGGAAATTACATTAAACATTTATGGTAATGATTGTCTTCTGCCAGAATTTTGTATTTAAAAAAGCTTGTAAATGAATGCAGATGCATCTCAAACAATTACCAATTTTTTCAAAAAGCCAGTATTACAGTAATGACTGTTTTTTTAAAAATGTGATTTGAGCTTGGTATACAAAATCATTCATAAGAATTAGATGTCAGAGACTCACAGTTCATAGAAAAAGGAAATACAGCTTTTAATTTGTCACAAAGGAAAAAGAAAAGGTTAAAGCAAAAAGAAATTCCTGCCAATACTGCTAACATACTGGGATTTAAGAAGAATAAATGTTTGCTGAGATCTTCTTGGCTTTGAAGATAGGTCTCCATTTGCATTTGAAGTAAATCAGACCAAGCACAAGGTGTATTGATGATCATGTGACAATGAGACTAGACATAGTAGAAGTTGGCCACTCTTCAGTGGAGTGACAATGTGGAGGAAGGAAAAATATCCTCTTATATATTCTTCTTCAAACAGGCCTATCATTCTGAATTCACTGTGGCTCCATTATTCTTTTATAGACCTACAAGTCTCAAGGAAAAAATTCTACTGATAATATGTTTGTGAATTGGAATTCTTTATACAATCACTAGGATGTGTAAAACCCTGTTATGGTGATTAAAAAATGATAACTCAATTAATTGGGTAGTCATTTGCTTTGTCCCTCTACTATGAAGTCCCTCTACTAATTTTAAACCTTTATCATAGACCCACTATGCCTTGATCTTAGAGGGAAATTATGATGTAATTCTTATAATTTTACTTAACTATCCCTTTTCTTGTCAGTTAAGTACTTTAATAAAATTATTTCCCATATACCTACTTTTATCCCTACCTCTAAGAAACTGAAGAACATATGTATGAATTTAGAAGAATTTGTCTAAATTTTTATTTTAGAATTTTTAGTCCCAAATTAAAATTGTGTAAACATGCAAAATTAGAACATTGATGAATGAAATGCTTATGAAAATCTTTAAATTAAGCTTAGAGCTATACAATTGTGATGTGAGCTCAAGTGACTGTGAGCTTAAGTGGGATTGATTAGCTGTGATTTATGACGTCTGCCTTTTAAGCAACATAGGTTCCTTGAAATTGATGAGCATTTGAGCAGCAATTAAGGAGTAATCAGAAATTAAGCTAAATCCAGTTTAAAAACGATTATATATATTCAGTCACAGTATGCCTGAAAAATAACTTTTGGGTCCAATATGTTGCTTTGTATTTTCCCTAAGCATTCTAATATTAAATCATATTGTGCATTGAGATTAATTTAGTGGGTGACATATCTATTTCGGGAGAAAGAGAGAATCCATGGTAAAAAGACTCAAAATATCTGATATTCTAAAAAGTGCACGTGGTGAACTTTCTAGAATATTAGTAATGCTGGCACATATAATGACTCCGATAAACTACGCCAAAAGAGTAAATGAACTTGTGTTGGCAACTTTAGTGTAAGTCTTCACCAATTTTATTAAAGTATGAGATCAGTCATGTTGTGATCATATTGTGACTGTGAGATCCTCAATGGCAACAATACTGCTGCTGCTTCTGCTACTGCTGATATGGTAAAAATAATGGTGATACTTGCACTTCACTGGCATTTGCAAAACCCGTAAGATAATATCTTACATATATACATGATTTGTAGCTCCCTTCATGTAGAATGATTTTAACTGGAATTACCTGAATTTCTCTCCCACTATCTCTATGTGAAGGAATTAAAAATATACACAATTTTGGAGCTTGTAATTATCACTGTAATGTTAGAACAACCAATACCATCTGGGCAGTGCTGATTAACTTTCAAAGTAAATAAGCACTGTGCCATTCAACATTGTTGATGTCTTCCTACCAAAAATGGCCTTCTCATTAAACGATGAGTAGAAGGATCACTGGAAGTGCTTTATTTAGGAACCTATAATAACAAGCATGAGAGCACAAGTTATAAGAAAATCTACTTTAAAGAACAGTGTGACGCTGGGTGGCTAAGAAATATAATTAAATATTTGGCAAACAATCTTTAAATCCACTTCATAGATATCTATTAACTTTGAGTGTCTATTTGCAGATTAAAGTATTTTACTTCTAACTGTTGCTTGGATTCGCAAATGAAAAACGTATAGCAATCTTGTCTTTATATGTCATACACAACTTAGTAGAATATCTTTCCTAGTAATAGCCAATAAATATGTGTGTTCCTATATTATAAATCGAATACCCCACTTGTATATATTATGTAGTCTATTTTGCCTCTTAAGGGGAGGAAAATATTCTTGCAATTGTTTTAGACTAATTTTTCTCACTTTTTATTCCCAAGGGGAAAAGTTCAAAAGGAATTCAGACTACAACTACTTCTTGCAGTGATTAGGAAAAACTGAGAACTATTTCTATAATTCATATACTATAGTTTATCTGAAGCTGATACAGTTGTGCATTTTGGACAGATTTCAGAGCTGGGATTTGGTTTCTAACTTCCACATATTTTCCTCATTACCAGCCAGTCTGAGACCCGGGAAACCACTATTTGGTGTGTGATCACAAAAGGGCAGGAAAGAGGAAAATCAGTAGTTTTATTTACAGCATCAACTGTTCAATTACCAAAGCACAATCTTCAAACTTAAATACTCTCATTTCGTCCAGTGTAGCCCCTTCTCTGAGTGTTACCTTTAGCAAGTGGGTCACTAAAGACGTTTCAGAAAAGCTTATCTAATATCACCACAGAGGACTCTGAGGTCACACTATTCTGGTCTTTACCTCATACTTAGCAACGATACGCACGACACAGAATACAACATGCTCACACAGTGCCTTCCACTGAGTTTCATACACTCCTAGGAATTTAACACCTACTGAACGAATGGAAATGATTCTCAGTTGTGTTTATACACTGAGAAAATTTTAAAGTTTCCCTATCCAGGGTCCAAGCAGCGGCATATCTTCAAGCTCTGCCAAGTGCAGACAGAGCCCCCTTGGCTCACGTTGCCGTGGATCAGAGAATACCAAACCCTGCAGCTACCCATGTGAACGATGGAATGTAAAAGCTAAACTAAACCCATTCCCACTCCCCGCTTGGCTTTGACGCAGGGGTGGTGGTGGAGAGGATTCACTAAGTGTGCCCCGCTTTGCTCCCTCCCAGCACGCAGGGCTCCATGTTGTCCTGAGCTTGGCTGTCCAGCTCTTGTTGCCCTGACTACCTTCAACTCTTAAAATCCCGCCAGGAGATCAAAATGACAGGAAAAGCAAAGGGAAAGAACCTAGAGAAGGAATGGCAACCTTCCAGTCGAAAATCCCCAAAGCAGTGTTTTTTGACTCCTAGTGCAACAAGTGACCCTCTCAAGCGGCTCTTGAAACCACGCAGCCCGCAACTCGGGGATCCACCTCGCGTGCGCCCGAGGAGCACAGCAGGCTGGACACACCAACCTTTTCCCCAACCGTGACCCAAACAGTGGCTTGGATTCGATCCTTTCCACCCCCAAGCCTTGAGGAAAATCCACTTGAGACTTTTTTCCATCTCCAGATTTCCGACGGTCGATATCCTCCTGCATCCAGCCCATTTCCTAGTTTCCTGAAGGGTAGGGAGGACGTCTGTGAGTTGGATGTCTGAGAGCGTGCGTGTGCTAGGGATTTTAAACGTCTCCCCTCTCTTCCACTTCTTCGATATGTGCTCTGAGCTTTAGGTGTCGCCTCACAAATGGGATCAATAATCCTTGTTTTACCAACTTTGTCATGAAACCCTAGAAAATCATATATATTAAAAGGGCTTTAGAAATTGTCAGGTGCCCGACAGGTTGCAGCCGCGGGTTACCTCGGAGGCCAAGGCAGCCACCTCTGCAAGGGAGTTCTGCGTCCAAGCATGGCTTGTCCGTCCCGCCTGGCCCCCATCAACAAGGCCGGGACCAGCGGCCGGTGGAACGAGCGAGAGCAGCCCTAGTCCCACAGGTGAGCCGCCCCCACAAGCAGCCAAGCCGCGAGCCGTCCCGGCGCCGTCACCGCCCGCACTCACTTCTCCACTCCGGGAGGGAGATGGGAGGCGTGGGAGAACGCGGAGAGGCGCGGCGAGGCTGGGAGCGGGAGACGGCGCCGGGAGGCGGGAAGCGGACCAGAGAATGGGAGAAGCCCGGCAGGTGGACAGGAGGAAACAAAACCCAAACGCCCCACCCTCGAAGTCGTCAGGAGCTGAGCGAAGGAAGGAGCGAGGTAGGAAAGCGTGGCGCCCCAAATATGCCGCGGGAGCGGCGCGGGAGGCGCAGAACCCCGGAGCTTGCAGCCTAGCGCGCGGGGTCCCAGCGGAGCGCGAGGACGCGAGCGGAGCCCTCCCGGTTACCTGTGCTGCTTCCGCCCTGGCTGCCCCTGTCCCGAGGGAAGATGCCCGAGCACTTCTCCCACTCCACCTGGCCGGCGAAGCACAGCTCGGTGACGATGTGCAGAGCCTTCTGGCACAGACTGTTCACTCCGTCCTCCTTGTGGAAACTCATCGTTTGGCTTTTCTTTCGTTTTCTCTTTTTTTCCCAGTTAGCCGTCTTTTCCTCTTCCCGTACCTCTAACCCCTCTGGCGCCCTAAGCCATAGTCCGCCCGCGGTGACTTTGGCTGGAGATTGCGCCGCTGAGAGCCGGCAACTCTTAGGAGCCCCACGTTGGCCCCATGGCGGGAGCGGAGGGCGTAGGGGAAGGAGAGGCGCGCGAGGAGGCTGCGGCTGCCGCGAGGTTTGCGCCAACTCTCCCGCCGCGCGAGCGAGCCGAGGCGCGCTGGAACTAGAGACCCGGCATGGAGTGCTGAGGGGAGGGGGGAGCCGTAAAAAAGCCAAAGCAAGCCCTCGACTCGCAAGCACGCCCCCCTCCTCTCCCCAGCGCACTGGTGTTTCTGGCGGGTGCCTGGCGGCGACGCGTCCAATCGCAGCCCGGCGCGGGCGCTAGGTGACAGGCGGCGGAGCGCGCAGACCCGGCTCCCCGCGTCCTCTGAAGAAGGGACTCGCGAGGGAGGGAGGGAGGGAGGGCGGGCGGCCCGGCGCCCCTGCCGAGGCCGGGGATGCTCATCGTTGCCCAGAGTTGGCCCGAGGAGCCCTCTCCGTTTTCCCAATACTTTTCCCTGCATCAGTGCAGCCATCCCCGCCGCCTTTGTCTCTCCAACTTTTCCACGGATGTATTCTACTTTCTGTGCTATCTGCTTCTGCCCTTCTGGAAAAGTCATCCCAATCGAAGAAAAACTGAAAAAGTTAATTAGAAAAAAGAATGCGTGAATAAGCAAACCCTCTTAGGTAGATCACAAAATAAAATGTTATTTGTACTAATAATCAGATAAGATTCTGTCGATTAATCCGTAATTGGCGATTGAGAATGCACAACTTGACTCCCTCCATCTCCTTTCTTAGCGACTTAAAACAAGACATGGGTGTTAAAGGGAACAGGATTAAGTTCAAATCTGTCACACATCTCAGCCTAACCTTGAAGTTGTTTTCAGGTCTTGGCGATCCTCCTACTTCAGCCTCCCTAGTAGCTAGGACTCCAGGGACTCCAGGCGCTATTTTTTTTTTTTAAACTTATTGTAAAGACAAGGATCTCACTATGGTGCCCTGGCTGGTCTCGAACTCCTGGGCTCAATCAATCCTACCGCCTTAGCTTCCCAAAATGCTGGCACTAGCCACCACGGCCGGCCTGCTTTCGGGTCTTTGCCTGAGTCTGTAAAATGGGAGATTTGGACTCGGATGTCTTAAGCTCACCTGTTTTTATAATTCTTTAATGCAAATGGGTGCAAATCAGTAGAACTAAAGCGACAAAATAATAAACATGGGCTTCAGGATATAATATGTTTATATGGTTTTTAAACTGTTTTCGGGCAGAGTTTGATCCCATATCATAACCTGAGGATTGATTTAACCCTCTTGTGATGAGGGATTCTTTATTTTTGAAGTGGGATACATTGAACTTGTTAGCGTGTCTATGCTAGTAGAATAAGTAGTCTTTTTTAAAAACAGCTAATCAGTTCATGGTAAATTATTTGCTTTGCACAGGACTATGGTAAACCTAGTATAAATATTAGGCATAGCACTCCAGTAGGGAAGCATTCATTAGTTGAATCATTTTGACCTGATCCATAGGACGATTGGTTTAACTAGGACTATTTTTACCACGAATTAAGACAAACTAAAATCTGCAGGCTTCATTTGGTTTTTGTCTTTATGCACACTGACTTGGGTGGTTTTTAAGTCAAATTGTCTAAAGAAATAATTTCACTGTCAATCAAAAAATATTAAACATCTACTGTATGCACAAAACTAAATAACACACTTTAATAAGGCCCTTTCCAATTGCCTTTTGCCCCCCATTCTGCTACAGTCTACACAGACAGACCGGTAGAAAACAGCCTGCAATGCAATGCTGTACTTTCATATTTACCATATGAACTAATTGCTGTGTAGGAGGACCAAATGAGTAATTATCTTTATACTACTTACAGATTCTAATTGCTTAAGTGGAGTAATGCAGAAGGTCTCCCTAATGACCCTCTTGTGTTTGATTTCAGTGTTAAACATTAGGTAAACAAATTCTGAAAATAACTTTCCTGGTATTTGTTTATGCTGTTCCTGGCCTGTTGCTACTCTTACTGCTGTGTTTTCACAACAAGCAGAGTTAATTTCACTTGGATATTCGTTTTTCTGAATTCATTTCTCTGAAAAAAATTTTCTTTCATCTAAAATGAATATCACAGGTTTTGATTTTTTTCTTTGTTCTTTGGACCATCTCGCAGCTCATTAGCAGGTGAATCAAAACAGTTTTGTTTGTCACTAACTAAAAGCTCAGGTAAGAATTTTGGGCAAAGTAAAAACTGCATTGAAGGTCATCTTTTTCAATGCTGAAGGATAAGATGACAAGAATTTCAATTTTCAGTCTTTAAATTTTTTTTCCAACTATTTCAGCTACCAAGAACCTAAAAAGTAAATCAAGCAATACAGATTTGCATTTACTTCCCCACTCACACTCTGAAGGAATTGGTGAAATAGTAAAAGGAGAGGAGTGCAGGTTAGACTGATATTTACTGAGCATTGTTGGCTGTGCTGAGTACTATAGTAGCCATTGTTAGTCAAAAAAATACTAGCTGTAATGATCTCTGTCACAGCTTCCTTCTGGATGACCTCTACGTTATGTAGAGGAGGGATTGGTTTGGAAATAAGGAGCCCAGGAAAAACCCGTGTGAACTAAGCATACCTGTTAAGTGACAATTTTAAACATTCAAAACTCTGATTTCCCTACTTGCTCAATCCTCTTTCAATTCCTTCTTGCCCTTTCTCGTTCATATCGTGGGGGAGGGAGAGTTAGCTTGTTAGGCAGAGATCTCTCTACGGTAAGGGGAACTTGGGAATCACTCTAACACTATAATTTTAAATATTATTTGACCTCCAAAACAGGAACTAAGAGAGTAGGTAAATGAAGAAATCTCAGAGCAGCTGAATGAAGATCACAGAAAATTATTAAATTTGAACTTACTTCAAGTGTTACTACTTTCCTTTTCTGTATTCTATTGGCAGCTCAGATTCATAACAGACCAGTTGTAACTTTCTGTATACACTTGGGGCTGGTCCCGTATTCCTCAATTCAGAAAATGGAATTGCCACTCACTGCCAACTGGTGATCATGATGACCAAACTTCTGGCTTGCACAGAAGAAATGAGAAGTCCAGTTCTGACTCCAGATCCTTTTCTTTTCTTTTCTTTTCTTTTCTTTTTTTTTTTTTTTTTTTTTTTTTGAGACGGAGTTTCGCTCTTGTTGCCTAGGCTGGAGTACAATGGTGCGATCTCGGCTCACTGCAACCTCTGCTTCCCCGGTTCAAGCCATTCTTCTGCCTCAGCCTCCAGAGTAGTTGGGATTACAGGCGCCCGCCACCATGCCCGTCTAATTTTTTTGTATTTTCAGTAGAGGTGGGGTTTCACCATGTTGGCCAGGCTGGTCCTAAACTCCTGACCTCAGGTGATCAGGCCACCTCGGCCTCCCAAAGTGCTAGGATTACAGGCATGAGCCACTGTCCCCGACCCTCCAGATCCTTTTAATACAACCCAATTCATCACTCTGGAAGATTTGGTGTCTTCTCTTTTTCCATTATGTTCAATTTGTTCATTTTTCCTGATGGATACCCAGTGAGCATTTCAATCTGAGACTCAATGTTGAGTTCTTCAATTCCAAGAATTCTATTGATTTATTCCTTCAGTAATGTTCTAACTTCCATTTTTTTTCTGTGCAGTCCCTTACTAGAACTACTTTTTTGTTGGATTTTTGACTGCTAGGACTGAATCGCCAATTTTCACTTCTCTTCTATTTTCCAATTTTGTCACCTTACTCCTTGTGCTTTAATTTTGGGGAGATTTCCTTTGACCTTGTTCTCTGAGCTTTCTATTAAACTACTATGATTTCATCTTTTATAGTTCTAAGATCTGTATACTTTTTGGCTTAGTGATTCTTTTTTCTTATTTCATGAATGAAAATCTTTTCTTATTTGTCTGACCATATTAATTATGTATATTTAACACGCTTTCACCCTCGTTTTAGTCTTGTCATCTTTTTCTCTGAATAACTCTTTTTTTGTTGTTGTTGTTCTGTTCTTTATGTTGGAGGATTTTTTTCTCAGGTGTCTGCTGATCCCTGGATCTCCATTTAAAAACACTGTAATATGGATTTGCAGGACCAAGTGCATCGGTAAGACACAGAAACAATGAGCATCACTGAAGGGCAATTCAGAACTGAGTTGTACTTTTAATTGGAACACCCCAAATATCCGTTATCAACAGCTTTATTCTCTGGAGTGATTCAATTCTTTTCAGAGAGGGACTATCTAGTCTCTCACCAGGGATGTAAGGTAGTAATTAAAATCTGCCTGCTTTTACTTAATCCTCCTTCTTCAGTCTGTCGCCCGACTCTGTCCTCTTTTGGGTCTGGTGTCCAGCATCTAGAGCCTTTCAAGGTTAATATTTCTGGGCAAAACAAAGCATAAAACAAACCTCTTTTATTTGCAATTTGGCGAAGGGTAATAATTAAAGATGTGTGGGTGGAGACTTGAGCTTCAAGACATCTTAAGAATTACATTGACCCCCAACCCCTGCCTTTTTAGCCTCTTGTCTTACCCCCACCTTCTGCAGAATGAATATGAGGTGTTTCCATCTCTGTTTTTTTTTCTGGGTCTCTCTGGGGTGAATCACTAGCTTCTCATTGCTGTCTGCCTCTAGAGGTTTAAGCTCTCTCTGCTTAGCAAGTCAGTGACTGCTTCTTCACCAGCTTCCATCTTCTAAACCTATTAACATCTTTTGTCTTTTTTTTCTTTTTAGTCTTTTTGTTCTTTTGGGTTTATAGCCTTTTATAGCTTTACTCTCATTGCAGTGTCATTTCAGGAGCAGGAACACAAGCACACAAATTCTTAATTTATCATATTTAGCTGTTTAAAAAGGCAATTCTCATTGTGCCACTATTTAAAACTTTCCAGTGGCTTCCAACTGTGCTTTAGATTTATTGAATACCTTCAGTGTGGTCTGTAAAGCCTTACCTGACCTGACTTCTGTCTATCTTCTTTATTGTTTTCTGAGTTGACTGTGTACTTTCTTTTCATCCTCAATTTCTCCTTTGCAGCACAAATCATAATTAAAGTCAAATAATTTGTTGTAAGCTCTGGAAGGAAGGAAACATTTATTGCTTTATCACTGCTCTTTTTCTAGTGCTTCACACTGTGCCAGCAGTAATAGCTATTCGATAAACCTTTGTTGATGAGTAGATTGTTACTTCTTAACCCTATCTCTTTCTCTGTAGTTATCATCAGTAATAAGAGCCATTAGTTACTTATTTCAGAAATATATAGTATATTAGTCTGCTCTCACACTGCTAATAAAGGCATACCTGAGACTGGGTAATTTACAAAGGAAAGAGGTTTAATTGACTCACAGTTCCACATGGTTGGGGAGGCCTCCCAGTCATGGCGGAAGGCGAACGAAGAGCAAAGTCATATCTTAAGTGGTGGCAGGCAAGAGAGGTTGTGCAGGGCAACTGCCATTTATAAAACTATCAGATCTCATGAGACTTACTCGCTACCATGAGAACAGTATGGGGGAAACCACCCCCCATGATTCAATTATCTTCACCTGGCCCTACCCTTGACACATGGGGATTATTACAACTCAAGGTGAGATTTGGGTGAGAACAGAGCCAACCATATCACCAGGGTATGTAATAGAAACTAGTAAACCATTCTATTCCCAGGAAGGAAGAAGGACCACAAGGAAGAGCAAGTGGCAGTATATCCTTTCAGAAGGAAAAAGATGGCCATTTATATCTCAGGAACAGTCACCCACCCTTGATACCTGTTTTGTGTCATGTCTGTGTTATATGTTGTACATCTATGCTTAATAATCATAATCATAATCATTATTTGATATATAAGCTATAAAACTAAGTAGTTTTCAAGCTAATTGTTATAGTATTAATATCTTATATATGAGCTCATTTAGAATAGTGACAGACACAGTTATAAGCTTTTTACATACATTTGCTATTTAATTTTCACAATAAACTTGTGTAATAGATATTTTTATTCATATTGTACAGTTGAAAAAACCACTTCAGAGAGTTTAAGTAGCCTCTCTTAGGGTATACAGCCATTGATAATAGAGTCTGGTTTCCAACTAAGACCTTAAGTTGCAGAATTTAGGTTCTTAGCTATTGTTGTATGCTGCTGCTTCTCATCTATCCTCATAAGGTGTCTACAGAGCAGGCAGAAAGGTATTAAAGGATCATTCAGCCAGGAAGGTGAATTGATAAAGGCGTGAAATGATAAAAGTATGGCCTTTATCTATTTCTCCATTCACATTAGCAACCAATCCATGACCCTACTAGTTATACCATTTAAGAACCTAGCATGAACCTTGTCCTATTCTTTTTCTCTCCCATATAAGTAAATAAGCATATGGATGGACACATGTATAGATGTTACACTGTTGTTGTCTGTTTTCCAAAATGGTGCAGTTCTTACCCAACTGTAACTAATGAAAATCCCTTCAGTTTGACTGATGTAGTTTTAATGAAATATTTTTTCTTGCTTTTTTGAGGTATAATTGACAAATAAAAAAAGTACACATTCAATGTGTGTAATGTGATGATTTGATATAGCTATACGTGGTAGATGATTACCACAATCAATTTAAATAATATATCCATCATTACTCATAGTTACCATTTTGTGTGTGTAGGGTAAGTTAGTGAAGACACTACAGATCTCCAGGAATACCTGGGAGATATTGTGGGTTTGGTTCCAGATCACCTCAATAAAGTAAATATCATAATAAAGCGACAAAATGTCATCAAAAAGTCACAGCATATTTTTGGTTTCCCAGTGCTTATACAATTTATCTTTACACATACTGTAGTCTATTAAGTGTGCAATAGTACAATGTCTAAAAAGCAATATATATGCCTTAATTAAAAAATACTTTATTGCTAAAAAATGCTAATGATCATCTGAGCCTTCAGCGAGTTGTAGTCTTTTTTGCTGGTAGAGGGTCTTGCGTCGATGTTGATGGCTGCTGACTGATCGAGGGTGGTTGCTGAAGGTTGGGGTGGCTGTGGCAATTTCTTACAATAAGACTGCAATAAAGTTTGCTTCACCAGTCAACTCTTCCTTTCACAAAAGATTTTTCTGTGCTTTTTGATATCATTTTACCCACAGAAGAATTTTGTCCAAAATTGGAACCAATCCTCTTAAATCCTGTTGCTGCTTTGTCAACTAAATTTATGGAATATTCCAAATACTTTGTTGTCATTTTAACAGTGTTTCCTGCATGTTCATCAGGAATAGATTCCATCTCAAGAAACCACTTTCTTTGCTCATTTATAAGAAGCAACTCTTCCTGCGTTCAGGTTTTATCATGAGATTGCAGTAATTCACATCTTCAGGCTCACCTCTAATTTTAGTTCTCTTGTTATTTGCACCACAGCTGCAGTTACTTCCTCCACAGAAGTCTTGAACCCCTCAAAGTCATCCATGAGGGTTGGAATCAATTTCTTCCAAACTCCTGTTCATGTTTATGTTTTGGCTGCCTGCATGAATCATGAATCTTCTTAATGGCATCTGGAAGGGTCAATCTTTTCCAAACGGCTTTACATTTACTTTGCCCAGAACCATCAGAGGAATCACTATCTACAGCAGCTATGCCCTTATCAAGAGTGTTTCTTAAATACTCATGTCCTTTGCAGCAACAAATATGCAGCCAGAGGCCATTATCCTAAGTGAGTTCATGCAGGGACAGAAGACCAAATACTGCATGTTCTTGCTTGTAAGTGGGAACTAAACATTGGGTACTCATGGACATAAAGATGGCAACAATAGGCACTCGAGACTACTGGGGGTGGGGGAAGGAGGACAGAAAGGATTGAAAAATGAATTGTTGGGTACTATGCTGAGTACCTGGGTGATGGGATCATTTGGACCCCAAACCTTAGCATCATGCAATATACCCAGGTTACAAACCTGCATATGTACCCCCTGCATCTAAAATAAAAGTTTAAAAAAAAAAAGAACTGTGAGAGCCATGTACAGGAAATGTATCAAAATGGAATAAGAACAAAAGCTTAATGAATCAACATTTATAAAAACCCCCACAACAACAACAACAAAAAGTATTTCTGAAATAAAAGACTTGAAAATCAAAATTACTCCTTGGTACATGGACGGCAGTCATGAAAACAACATTAATCGCTTTGTATATCTCCATCAGAGCCCTTGGATTTCTAGGTGCATTGTCAATGAACAGTAATATTTTGAAAGGAATCTTTTTTCTGTGCATTAAGTCTCAACAGTGGGCTTAAAATATTCAGGAAATCATGCTATAAACAGATGTGCTGTCATCCAGCCTTTCTTGTTCCATTTAGGGAGCCCAGGCAGAGCAGATCTAGTATCATTCTTAAGGGTCCTAAGAGTTTTGAAATGGCAAATGAGCGTTGGCTTTCACTTAAAGCCACCAGCTGCACTAGCCCCTAATAAGAGAGTCAGCCTGTCCTCTGAAGCCAGGCACTGACTTCTCCTGTCTCCTATGAAAGTCCTAGATGGCATCTTCTTCTAATAGAAGGCTGTTTCATCTATATTGAAAATCTGTTGTTTAGTGTAGCCACCTTCATCCCTGATCTTAGCTAGATCTTCTAGATAACTTGCTGCAGCTTCTTGCTTCACCTTGCACTTTTATGTTGTGGAGATGGCTTTTCCCTTAAACCTAATGAACCAGTCTCTGCCAGCTTACAACGTTTCTTCTGCAGCTCCCTCACCTCTCTCAGCCTTCATGGACCTGGAGTGAGTTAGGGCATTGCCCTGGATTAGAGGTTTGATCTTCTATCCAGACCAGTAAAACTTTCTTCATATCAGCAACAGGCTGTTTTCACTTTCTTATCATTTGTATGTTCACTGGAGTAGCGCTTTTAATTTCTTTCAATAACTTTTTATTTGTATTCATAACTTGGTTAACTGATGCAAGAGGCCTAGCTTTCAGACTCTCTTGGCTGTAGACATGCCTTCTTCACTAAGCATAGTCATTTCTAGCATTTTATTTAAAGTGAGAGATGCGGCCAGGTGCGGTGGCTCAAGCCTGTAATCTCAGCACTTTGGGAGGCCGAGGTGGGCGGATCCCTTGAGCTCAGGAGTTCATGAGAAGTCTGGACAACGTGGTGAAACCCCATCTCCACCAAAAATACAAACATTAGCCGGGAATGGTGATGCACTCCTGTAATTCCAGCTACTTGGGTGGCTGAGGCAGGAGAATCTCTTGAACCCAGGAGGCGGAAACTGCAGTGAACTGAGATTGCGCCACTGCACTCCAGCCTGGGTGATAGAGTGAGACCCTGTCTCAAAAAATAAATATATTTTAAAAATAATAATAATAAAAAATAAAATAAAGTGAGAGATGTGTGGCTCTTCCTTTCACTTAAACACTTGAAGGCCATTTTCTAGTTAGTAGTTGGCCTAATTTTAGTATTGTATCTCAGGGAATAAAGAGGCCCAGTGAGAGGGAGAGAGATAGGAGAACGGCCGGTTGGTGGAGCAGTCAGAACACACAAAATATTTATCAGTTATGTTGCTGTCTTTTATGGGTGTGGTTTATTTTACTTCAAAACAATTAATATAGTAATATCAAAGATCACTGTGTTAGGCCATTCATTGTTGCATAGCTATAAAGAAATACCTAAGACTAGATAATTTATAAGAATAGAGATTTAATTGGCTCACAGTTCTGCAGGCTGTAGATGAAGTATAATGCCAGCATGTGCTTCTGGGGATGGCTTAGGGAAATTTTATGCTGGAAGCTGAAGTGGGAACTTGCACGTCACATGGTGAAAACAGGAGCAAGAGAGAGGGGATTGGGGATAGAGGTGCCACACCCTTAAACAACCAGATCTCATATGAACTTAGAGAGAGAGCTCACTTATCACTAAGAGGATGGTCCAAGCCATTTATGGGGGATCTGTCCTCATGATCCAAACCCCTTTCATCAGGCCCCAACTCCAACACTGGGGATTACATTTCAGCATGAAATTTGGTCAGGACAAATATCCAAACTGTATCAATCACTGATCACATATCATCGTAAAACACATAGTTATGTTTTAAGTTTCATAATTTTCAAATATTTTGTGTGTTCTGACTGCTCCACCAACCGGCTGTTCTCCTATCTCTCTCCCTCTCATCGGGCCTCTTTATTCCCTGAGATACAATACTAATTTTAATAATAATGAAAATGTTTGAATATTGCAAAAATTATGAAAATGTGACAGACATGAAGTAAGCACATGCAGTTGGAAAAATGGTGCCAATACACTTGCTCAAGGCAGGGTTGCCACAAACCTTCAACTTGTAAGCAGCACAATATCTGTGAAGTGCAATAAAATGAAGCACGATAAAACGAGCTATGCCTGTCTTCTCAGCATATTTCAAGTAAACAATATGGTATTGTTAATGATAGTCACTATGCTGTACATTAAATCTCCAGTGTGTACAGCATGATGAGTAATTATTTTTAATGACTAGAAACATTTCAAGATGATGATATGCCATAATTTATTCAACTATTTCCCTACTGATGCAGATTTTTTAACTTTAGCTATTTATTACAATGGGCCATGTTGCAGTGAATGTACTTGTAATATTTACTTAAATACTGATAATTTTATTTACTTTATCTATATTTCCAAGGAAGAGAATTCTGCTATATGAAATTACATTTAAATTCACATTTCTACCAGAAACATATAAGATTATCCTCTTTTGCACACCCTGCTTACAAAAATAGATGTTAGTACTTTTAAATTCCTGCCATTATTTTGAGTGTATTATTTTCAAAGACTGCCCTGTGTTTATATGTAAACACTTATGCAAATTTTTATTTATATAATGTATATGCCTATCAGTGAAATTAAAATTAAAATGTAAAATATATTTATTTGTAATTAAAAAAAGGAATGTGAGATTAACCATTGCTTCTTTTCTAAACTTGTGATCTCAAACCTTAGCATGTGTAAGAATCATTTGGAACGGTTGTTAAAACATAATTTGCTAGGCCCCACTCCTGGAGTTTCTAATTCATTTGTTTTGAGGTAGGGACTGATAATTTGCATTTCTAAAAATTTCCCGTGTGATACAGATAATGCTGGTCCCGGGACCACACTTTGAGAACCACCCTTTTATATGGGCTCTTTAGACCAAAAAGTATCCTTAAGAATTTACATAGTATACTTACTTACTTCTGGTGTAATATCTGGTCAATTGAAAACAAGCAATCTAAAATAATAAAAGATTGAGGGCATTAATTGAAATTAGGTAAAAAAAAAAACCACATAGTTATGTTTTAAGTTTCATAATTTGCCAGCTGTGTAATGGATAACTTACTCAAACTCTTTGAACTTAGCTTTTCTTTTTTTACTGTTAGAATAATATCATGTTTTACTTTCATCAAAGGATTGCCCTGATGCTCAAAAGAGGCAGTGAATGGGAAAGTACTCAAAAACATTATGCAAATATAAATTATAATCATCACTCTGTGGATTAGGATTATTTGATCTATAAAGCAGTTATAGCTCAGCCTTTTTACTCTGTGTCAAAGTTTTTTCTCAAATTGGTATCTTATTCATAAGTAAAATAATTGGGCCCCCTAAAAGTTTTAAGAAGTAGCAAAATACCTTTCTCAAGAGGCAACAAGTGATGAATTACCTCACATAGCACATCATTAACCTCCCTAAAATTCCTATTTACACCACATTCTTCCTCAATTCTCACTCACAGAGGAAGTTCCAATCATTCTGAATCATGTTAGAATATTCTATTATCTCTACAGCAGTGGCCTCTCTCTGAAATTATCTTGCTGGTTTATTTATGTGTTTACCATTTATCTTTTCCATATGAGATTACAAACTCCTTGACAGCCAGATCTGACTTTTTCGCCACTGCATCCCAGAACTGAGAATAATTATGGGCACAGAGCAGGAATGAAATGGCAGTTTAGTTTCTTAGTGATCATGTGAAGCCCTATAATAGCTCTTAAGTAGGATTTATCTGGGACTCACACGTTTGAATTAAGAGCTTAGAATGTACTGTGTCAATTTTTAAACACCAAAATCACATAAACATTACTGGTTATTTTGAGAAGTTCAATAAAGAGGATATATTGATTAAAATGATTTGTAAATCACTAGGATTACAATTCATTCATTAAACAAAGTTATATAGTTAATACATGATGATATAAATAGTATGTAAGTTCTCAGGAAATTTTTATTCTCAGCTTCTCTCTTGGCAGAAAGCTGGCCTAGAAAATTTCAATTTAATTTGTTGAGTAAGTTTTCTGCAGAAGAATTTGTAATATTTTTTATTGTAAACATTAAAGAGTAAGTGCTAGAATATGGAATATGACTATAAAGTAAAATATATTGCTTTTCTGCATAGTTACTTTTATGGACTCACCAACAATTTAAAAATGCTGCATTTAGGCAAATTTTTTTTGGAGTGATTCTTTTGGTATTAACTTCAAAGCCAATTCACATGCTACAAAACACAAACAAAAACAAACAAAAAGCAGCCAGATTGGAAAGGAAGAAGTAAAACTATCTCTATTTGCAGAGAACATCATCTTATATACAAAAAATCCTAAGGAATCCATATTAAAACTACAACAACTAATAAATGAATTTAACAAAGTTGCAGGATTTGAGATCAATATAAAAATATTGTTGCTGTACAATAGTAGTAAGCAATCCAAAATGAAATTAAGAAAGCAATTTCATTTATAAGAGCATTAAAATAAAAATACTTAAGAATAAAGTTAACAAAAGAAATGTAAGATTTGAGCCTTGAAAACTACAAATATTGCTGAAATAAATTTTAAAAGATCTTAATAAATGAAAGATATGTTCATGAATCAAAGACTTACTATTGTTAAGAAGGCAAAATCCCAAAGTTGATATACAGATTTAATGCCATCTATATGAAAATCCTAGCTGCTTTTTTTGCAAAAATTAATGAAATGATCTTAAAATTTAGATGGAACTGTAAAGCACACAGAATAACTCAAACAATCTATAAAAAAAAGAAGAAATTTGAAGGACTCATACTTCCAATCAAATTTACTATAAAGCTCTAAAGTAATGCAGACAGTGAGGTGTTAGGATAAGGATAGATATACAGATCAATGAAATGATAGTCCTGAAAAAAAAAACCTTATATTTATGGGCAATTGACTTTTCAATAAGGTTACAAACACAATTCAGTGGAGGAAAAATCGTTTCTTCAACAAATGGTGCTGAGACAACTGGTATACACATGCAAAAGGATGAAAGTGTACCTCTTCCTCACACCATATATAAAAATTAATTCAAAAGAGATAACAGACCTAAATGTAAGAACTGAAATTATAAACCTTTTTGAGAAAAACAGGAACAAATTTTCATGACTTTCAGTTAGACAATAATTTCTTAGGTACGACACTGAAAGCACAATAGACAAAATTTTAAAAAATAGGTAATTTGAACTTAATGAAAATTAAACCTTTTTTACTTCAAAAATGCATCAAGAGTGCAAAAAGCTAACCAACAGGCTTGGAGACAATATTGCCAAACACTTATATAATGAGGGACTTTTATCTAGAAAATATAAAGAATGCTTACAAGTCAATGACAAAAAGACAGATAACTCAATTTAAAAAAAATGGGTAAACACTTGAATAGATATTTCCCCAAAGAAGATATACAAATGGTCACTAAGCACATTAAGATAGTCACCATCATTAGCCATTAGAGAAATGCAAATTAAAACCATAGTAACATATTACTTCTTATCAACTAAGATAGCTATTATTAAAAGACAGATATAACACATGTCAGTGATAGAGTGTAGAACACTTATGCATCTCTGGTAGAAATAAAAATGGTACAATGACATTGGAAAACCAGGTAGAACTTCCTATGAGTTATCTACTAATTCACTTCTTAGTATTTAGCCAGGAGAATTGGAAACATATTTTCACACACAAAAAATTGTACATTAACATTCATAGCAGTATTATTCCTATTTTGCAAAAAGTGGTAATATCCATCAGCTGATTAATGGATAAACAAAATATAATATATTCTGTACTATAGAATATTATTTGGCAATAAAAAATAATAAATTACCGATACAAGCTACAACATAGATGAATCCAGAAAATATTGTGTTAAGTGAAAGAAGCCAGTCACAAAAGACTACATACTGTGAGGCACCATTTATACAAAGTCTCCAGGGTACCTAAATTCTTAGAGATGAAAAGTAGATTAGTGGCTTTCAGGATCTGGGGAAGGGGGCAGGAAGAACTGGGGAATGGGCAGTGGCTATTAAGGGAAAGGTTTTTTTTTTTTTGGTGATGAAATGTTTCAAAGTTAGTAGTGATGTTTACACAACTCTGTGGATACACTAAAAACCACTGAATTATACACTTTCAAAGATTGAAATTAAATGTGAATATCTCAATAAGCTATTATCTTTAAAAAAACAACAAATGCTTATTTATCACTACACGGCATTTAATTTTGAATGCCTTATATATTTAAAATTAATTCTAAAAATTAATTCTAAAATAAAAATGTTTAGACCATTTTTAATGTAAAAATTGAAACCACAACACAGGATAAGAATATAGTGAAAAACATCATAAAAAATGAACTGAGGTCATTCATGTGGAAACTGAGGTCATGCTGAGCCAGGGCCTGGCCTGGGAACCCAGCGGCAGCCCCTCAGCTTCACCCACCACCTACTGACCATGGACCCCTGCAAAGTGAACGAGCTTCCGGCCTTCATGAAAATATGTAAGCAGGATCCGAGCGTTCTGCGCATGAGAAAATGTGCTTCCTGAGGGAGTGGGTGGAAAGCATGCAGGGTAAAGTGCCATCTGCTACTCAGAAAGCTCAATCAGAAGAAAATATCAAGGAAGAAAAAACAGAGAGTAAGAAGGCTGAGGAGATTTAAAGACAGACAAACCATCAAGTGAGGAAAGTGATCTAGGAACTGATAATGAAGGTGTGATTGAACCAGACACTGATGCCCCTCAAGAAATGGGAAATGAAAATGCAGAGATAGCAGAGGAGATGATGGATCAGGTAAATGATAAGAAAGTGGATGCCACTGAAGCCCTAACTGATGACGAACTGCAGAAAGCCATCGACCCATTCACAGTTTCCATCAAGCTGAATCCTCCCTTGGCCGTTCTGTATACCAAGAGGGCCAGTGTCTTTGTCAAATTACAGAAGCCAAATCCTGCCATTTGAGACTGTGACAGAGCCATTGAAATAAATCCTGATTCAGTTCAGCCTTACAAGTCATGAGGGAAACCACACAGGCTTCTTAGGCCATTGGAATGAAGCAACCCATGATCTTGCTTGGCCTTGCCTTTAAATTGGATTATAATGAAGATGCTAGAGCAATGCTGAAAGAAGTTCAACCTAGGATGCAGAAAATTGCAGAACATCAGAAAAAGTGTGAGAGAAAACATGAAGAGCGAGAGATCAAAGAAAGAACGGAAAGAGTTAAGAAGGCTCCAGAAGAGCATGAGAGAGCCCAAATAGAGGAAGAACCCAGAGGACAGTCAGGAGTTCAGTATGGCTCTTTTCCTGGTGGCTTTCCTGGGGGAATGCCTGATAATTTTCATGGAGGAATGCTGGGAATGGGAGGGGCCATATCTGGAGTGGCAGGAATGCCTGGACTTAATGAAATTCTTAGTGATCCAGAGGTTCTTGCAGCCAAGCAGGATCCAAAAGTTATAGTGGCCTTCCAGCATGTAGTCCAGAACCCAGCAAACATGTCAAAATACCAGAGCAACCCAAAGGTTATGAATCTTATCAGTAAATTATCAGCCAAATTTGGATGTCAAGCATAATAATGCCCTCCTGATAAATAAAGCCCTTGCTGAAGGAAAAGCAACCTAGATCACCTAGGATTCTTGGGATGGGTGTCACAATAATACGAACCAGTGTACTTCTGACCTTTTCATCAAGAGAACTGGGTCGCTTTGAAGATAATCACTACCCCTCAACCCCAAATGCAGCTGAAGCATTTTACAGTGGTTTGCCATTAGGGTATTCATTGAGATAATGTTTTCCTACTAGGAATTACAAACTTTAAACATTTTTTAAACTTTAAAAATATTTAAAACAAACAAAAAAATGAACTTAGAAAAATGTGTGTGGCATATATGCCAAAAAGGTAACAATAATATCTCAATAATAAAAGAGTTCATAAATTAATTAAAACCAAAGTCAAATTTTAATAATGAAGTAGGCAACAGGAATTTTTGAAAAATTTAGCCATGACAAATTAACACATAAAATAACCTCATTAATAGTCAAGTAACTGCAGAATTTAACAATATAATCAGCTTTAAAAAACAATTATAAGAGCCAGTGTAGGCAAGATAACTGGCTAGTTGTGTACACTGTTGGTAAGAAAATAAGTAGATGTTATATTTCTCTAAATTACTTAATAGTATTACATTTTTGCATGCTTTACTTAGAAGTATACTTCTAACAGTTTATCCTAAAGGAAATATCATGAGTGGATTAACTGATTTAGCAAGAAAAATATTTATCAGAACATTGCTTATAATACTAAAAACGTTAGAACAATTTACATTTCCAAAATGGGGGATTTATTAGATCATGTGTGGCATATTGGCAAAATTGAACACCATTCAGTTATTCAATAAAGAGCTATTGGTGAGAGGAATCTGAGATGATGGAAATAGGAAACACCAGGAGTCTGTCTCCCCACCTAGACAACAATTGCATTAGCAAAATGGGTATGATGTAAATATTTTGGAACTCTGGAGTCTATTGAAGGCTTGTAACTTCCAGGGATGGTTTGGATGGTAAATTGCAGTTAATTTAGGTCGATTTTAGCTCTTACCACCGTAGAATCTGTCTCCCATCCCCAACCCCATGGCAGGCAGCTTGCATGTGTTCCCGGAACAACCTGCCCACAGTTTGCAGGAGCCACGGTGGGCAAAAAATATCCTGTCTTCCAAATATCAGGTTCTGTGTTCTCATTACCAGTTGCTATTTCTGACCACAGAGGTGCAGGTAGAAACTGGGTGGGGCGGGATACGGAGGCATTGTTGTTGCCTCTCCCGCAGTTGTTGCAAGCCCTCCCTCTACGACTGAAAGGACTTCCAGGTGATTTAAAGGGCCAGTGATTCCTGCCACACCTATTTTTCTCCTTTTCCCCTCTTGGAAGCCAGACATTAAAGACTAGGACCTTAAAAAGCAATTGCATACATGGGGAAAATTAGAAAGTTACCATGCATGTGTAAGGAAAGGTGTGGGCTCAGAAAAGACTTGAGAAGACCTGAAGTTTACACCACAGGCTGATATTTGGCACAGAGACAGCCTACAACAACAGCAACAAAAGCTATAATAAAACTGCAAGCCCTGGGAAAGGGAGAGGATTTGATTTCCAGAGTTAACCATATTATTAGATTCAAATGTCTAGTTTTCAACAAAAATATCAAAAGACTTACGAAGAAATTGGCAAGTATGACCCATTCAAAAGAAAAAAATAAATCAACAGAAATAGACCTGATGGTAGATCTACTAAACAAAGATCCTAAAACAACTGCTTTAAAGATGCTGAAGGAACTAAAGGAAGATGTGGAGAAAGTCAAGAAAATGATGTGTGGAAAAAAATGGAAATACCAATAAAGAGATGGAAAATGTAAAAGGAAACCAAAGAGAATTTCTGGACCTGAAATTATAATAATTGAAATGAAAAAAAAATCACTACAAGGATTCAGAGAGATTTGAACAGAAAGAAGAAAGAATCAATAAAGTTGAAGATAGGACAATGGAAACTATTGAGTCTGAGGACCAGAAAAAAAAAAGATTGAAGGAAAGTGAAAAGAGCCTATAGGACATGTGGGACAGCATCAACCAACATATTCATTGAGAGAGTCCCAGAAGGAGAAGAGACAGAAAGAGAAAGAGTTAATTTTTGAAAGAATAATAGCTGAAATATTCCCAAATGTGATGAAAGACATTAAAATAATTATTTAAGAAGCTCAATGAATTCCAAGTAAAATGAACTAAAAAAGACTCACACTGAGGCACATTATAGTAAAATTTTTTAGAGACAAAAACTAAGAGACTCTTGAAAGCAGCAAGAGAGAAGGAACTTGTCACATATAACAAATCCTCAACAAGACTATCAGCTGATTTCTCAGAAAATTTGGAGGCCAAAAGTCAATATAGTCAAAGTGCTAAAAGAAAAACAATACTGTCAACCAAGGATTCTATATCTAAAACTTTCTTTCAAAAGTGAGGGAGAAATTAAAATGGTCTCATAAAACAAAAGCCAAGGGAATTCTTTACCAATAGGCTTTCCCTGCAAAAAATACTCAAGGGAGTCCTGCAAACACTGGTCAGTAACTCAAAGCTGTATGAAGAAATAAAAATCTCAATAAAAATAAGAATGTGAGAAATTAGTATTATTGAAGCTTTCCTTTATAACTCCAAATTTTGTTTGCTATGTGATTTAAGAGACTAATAATTATTAGTATATGTTTTGGAACACATAATGTATACAAATGTCATTCTGTGAATGACATGAAAAAGGGTGGAGGCAGAACTGTTAAAAGAGTAGAGTTTTTGTATGTTACTTAAGTTAACCTGGTATAAATGCCAATTAAAGTATTATAACTTTAGGGTATTAAACATAATCCTCATAACCACAAACAAAATATCTATAGAATATATACAAAAGGAAATGAGAAATGAATTTTAACATTCCACTACAAAAATTAAACTAAACCTAGAAGACAGTAATACAGGAAATGAAATACCAAAAAATTATAAGCCATATAGAAAACAAATAGTAAAATGACAAGTCCATCCTTATAAGTAATTACTTTAAATGTAAATGAATTAAACTTGCCAATCAAATGACAGCCATTGGATGAGTGGATTGAAAAAACATGGTCGAAGTATATGCTGTCCACAAGAGACTCATTTTAGATCAAAGATACAAATAGATTGAAAGTGGACAAAAGGAAAAAGATATTTCATGCAAATAGTAATCAAAAGAAAGCAGGGGTAGTTATAGCAGACAAAATAGACTTTAAGTCAAAATAAACTTTAATCTTCTTAAAGACAAGAAGGAAACTTTATATTCATAAAAGGTTTAATACAGGTAGGAAGATACAACAATTACAAACATTTAGACACCTAATGGGACTAAGAAATAAAGAGAGAAGACTCAAACTACTAAAATCAGAATGGAAAGTGGGCATATAACTACTGATTCTACAGAAGTAAAAAGGATTATGAGAGTGCAATGACAAATTATATGCCAACAATTGGATAATTTCAATGAAGTGGGCAAATTCCTAGAAACATGAAACAACACTAAATCATGAAGAAATAGAAAACATGAATAGATCTATTACTAATAATGAGATTGAATCAGTAATCAAAAAATCTTCCAACAAAGAAAAACCTTAGACCTGATGGATTCACTGGTGAATTCTGCCAAACATTTAAAGAAAAATGAGCACTAATCTGTTCAAACCTTTTTAAAAAAAAATGAAGAGGAGGAATTGAAGAGGAGGGAACATTTCCTGTCTTATTCTATAAGGTCAGCATGAACCTGATACCAAAGCCAGACAAAGACACTACAGGAAAAGAAAATTACAGGACAATGTCCCTGTAAATAATGATGCAGAAATCTTCAGCAAAATATTAGCAAATGGAACTCAGCAGTATATCAAAATGATTATACACTATGATCAAATGCAACGTATTTCTGAATGCAATGATGTTTAATATATAAAAATTGCTCAATGTAATATATCACATTAACAGAATGAGAGAAAAACCTACATAATTATCTCAACTGATGCAGAAAAATTATCCCACAAAATTTAACATTCTTTTGTAACTGAAACATTCAACAAACTAAGAATAGAAGGAAAGTACCTCAATATAATACAAGCCATATATAAAAAGCCTACAGTGAACATTACACTCTACTGTGAAAGATTGAAAGCTTTTCCTCTAAGATCAGAAACAAGGCAAGGAAGACTGCTTTCACCACTTCTATTCAATATAGGACTGGAAGTCCTATTTAGGGCAATTATGCCAGAAAAAGAAATAAAAGGCACCTAAGTTAGAAAGAAAGGAGTAAAATTATCTCTGTTCACAGTTGATATGCTTTTATGTGTAGAAAACCCTAGATTCCACAAAAAAACCTGTTAGAATCAATAAATGAATTCAGCAAAATAGCAGTATGCAAAGTTGACACATAAAAATCAGTTGAATTTTTATACACTAACAGTAAACAATCTGAAAAGAAAATTACAAAAATAATTCCATTACAATGACTTCAAAGAAAAGAAAGTACTTAGGTATTAACTGGGCAGCTGAAAAATTTGTACAATGAAAATGATAAAACATTGCTGAAATTAAAGAATACACAAATACGTGGAAAAATGTTCCACATTCTGAGATTAGAAGACTTAATACTGTTAATATGTCAACACTACCCAAAGCAAGCTACATATTCAATGCAATTCCTATCAAAATCTCAATGATTTCTTTTTGTAGAAAGAGAAAGCCCATTTAAAAATTCACATGGAATCTCCAGGGACCCTGAATAGCCCAAAATATGTTGAATAAAAGGGAACAAAGCTGAAGCACTTACACTTCTCATAAGGACAGATATGTAGACCAATGAAATAGAATAAAGAACCCAGAAAAATAGGTGGGCACGATGGCTCACGCCTGTAAACTCAGCACTTTGGGAAGCTGAGGCAGGCAGATCACCTGAGGTCAGGAGTTCGAGACCAGCCTGGCCAACATGGTGAAACCCCATCTCTACTAAAAATACAAAAATTATCCAGGTGTGGTGGTGGGTGCCTGTAATCCCAGCTACTCAGGAGGCTGAGGCAGGAGAATCATTTGAACCTGGGAGGCAAAGGTTGCAGTGAGCTGGGATCATGCCACTGCACTCCAGCCTGGATGACAGGGTGAGATTGTGTCAAAACAAACAAACAAACAAAAAAACCAGAAAAAAAAATTTTCCCACATATGGTCAAATGATTTTGATGTGGTGCCCACACCATTCAATGGGGGAAAAATAGTTTTGGTCCTAGAAAAATCAGATATCGACGTGCAAAGAAATGAAGTTAGACTCTTACCTAGCACCGTCATTCAAAAATTAACTCAAAATGAACCGAAGACCTAAATAAATGTAAGACCTAAAACTATAAAACCCTTAGAAGGCAATATAATGCAAAAGTTTCATAACATTAAACTTGGCAAAAATTTATTGGATATGACGTCAATGTCACAGACAATAAAAGAAAAAGAGAGAAGTTGAACATTATTAAAATTTAAACAATTTTATGTGTTAAAAGAACAGAGTAAAAAGGCAACACACAGAATGGGAGAAAACATTTGCAATTTGTTCTCTGCAATTGAACACTGATATGATTGGATTATTTTAATTTTTATCCTTTAGCTTATATACCTATATCACCCAAATTTTATATGACAACCATGTGTTACTATTATAATATGAAAGAACTACTTAGATAATAATAATTTCAAATAAATCTAAAGTTTAGAAAGGGATTTTTTAAAAGATTGCAATAATTTTTGGAACAGGTAGTCTTAGTCTGTTAGGGCTATTTATACCATAAAATGGATTAACTTATAAACCACATAAATTATTTCTCACAGTTCTGGAGGCTGAGAAGCTCGAGATAAAAGTGCCAGGAGATGAGTGGTGAGTATCCACTTCTTAGTTCACAGAGAGCAGTTTTCATCTTGTGTCTTCACATAGGAGAAGGGCCAGATATGCTCCCTTAGCCTTCTTTTATCAGACCAAATTACCTCCCACATCCTAATACTATCATCTTTGAGGTTAGGATTTCAAAATATGAATTTTGGAGGGACACATACATTCAGACAATAGCAAAAGTATTATAGTTTAATAATTATGAGCTTGGGTCTGGAGTTAGTATAGGTTCAAACCCCAACCCTGCCACGTCTTCCAACATTTGAAGCAATAACTATGCCAAAAGTTCAGTATCTTCTATTAATTTAGAATCATAACACTTTATGGTATATGGATTAATGATGTAATATATGTAAAGCTCAGATTCCAATGCTTAATATTTTGCAGAAATTCAATAAATGGTGGTAACCTCCCTTTAAACTTTCATAGAGTTCATATTTCTCTATTTTGATCCTGAGAACATTTGTGCATATCTTTCTTAAGTGCTTTGCTTTGAACTTCATTATACTAGATCAAAATAAATATAGAAAAATGTAATCTCATTTAAATTAGATGCAAGGAACAATATAAAAATATTAAATGAAAATTGTTTCTCCATGTGAGCTTGTATTTCATTATCATTCAAATTATTTAACAAAACAAATTTTTAAGGTTTAAGTGATTTTAGATTTTTTTCAGCTGGCTGATTGTTTCAAATTGAAACAATTGCCAGTCTGGTGTTCAAAATACAGTAACATATCAATGTCTGATAATTAAATTAAAGAGTCTGTGCTTCCTTGTATTCACATGCATAAATAGCACTTAGTAAACTTAATAGTAAATGAGGGAGTAATATAATTTTCCTATGAATTTAAAGCAAGAACATGCTTCTGAACTGTTTTCAAGTATCCAGAGTACATAGGGTAAATATTACTTTTAAGTGAACACCTTAATATTATGTACTTACACTTTCTGTGATACACACAGATAATTGAAAACTGTCAATGAACTCAGAGCACTTTGTCCAGTAAATCTAGTGGTTTCAGCTGATTTAGTTGTAGTCACTTTATTCTTTTGCTATGTTAAGTTGCCTAGAAAGAGGAATGTGGGATTGCTGGCAAGATGGCTGAATAGGAAGAGCTCTGGTCTGCAACTCCCAGTGACATCGACGCAGGAGGTGGGTGATTTCTACATTTCCAACTGAGGTACCCAGTTCATCTCATTGGGACTGGTTGAGCCGAAGCAGGGTGGGGTGTCACCTCACCAGGGAAGCGCAAGGGATTGGGGAACTCCCTCTCCTAGCCAAGGGGAGCCATTAGGGACCGTGCTGTGTACTCTGGCCCAGATACTGCGTTTTTCCCATTGTCTTTGCAACCCACAGACCAGGAGATTCCCTCCAGTGCCTACACCACCGGGGCCCTGGATTTCCAGCACAAAATTGGGCAGCCCTTTGGGCAGACACCTTTGGGCAGACACCGAGCTAGCTGCAGTTCTTTTTTCATACCACAGTGGCGCCCAGTGAGACAGAGCCATTCCCTGGAAAGGGGGCTGAAGCCAGGGAGCCAAGTGGACTGGCTTGCTGGGTCCCACTCCCACGAAGCCCAGCAAGCTAAGATCTACTGGCTTGAAATTCTCGCTGCCAGCACTGCAGTCTGAGCTCCATTGGGGATATTCAAGCTTGGTGGGGGGAGGGGCATCCACCATTGCTGAGGCTTGGGTAGGTGGTTTTACCCTCACAGTGTAAATAAAACCACTGGAAGTTTGAACTGGTCCCAGCCCACCTCAGCTCAGCAAGGCTGCTGCGGCCAGACTGAATCTCTAGATTCCCTCCTCTCTGGGCAGGGCAGCTCTGAAAAAAAGGCAGCAGCCCCAGTCAGGAACTTATAGATGAAACCCCCACCTCCCTGGGATAGAGCACCTAGGGGAAGGGGCACTTGTGAGGACAGCTTCAGCAGACTTAAACGTCCCTGCCTGGCAGTTATGAAGAGAGCAGCAGATCTCCCCGCACAGTGTTTGAGCTCTGATAAGGGACAGACTGCCTTCTTAAGTGAGTCCCTGACCCCCATGTATACTGACTGGTAGACACCTCCTAGTAGGGGCCAACAGACACCTCATACAGGAGAGCTCTGGCTGGCATCTGACAGGTGCTCCTCTGCAAGAAATCTTCCAGAGGAAGGAACAGGCAGCAATATTTGCGGTTCTGCAGCCTCTGCTGGTGATACCCAGGAAAACAGGGTCTGGAGTGAGCTTCTAGCAAACTCCAGCAGACCTGCAGCAGAGGGGCCTGTTAGAAGGAAAACTAACAAACAGAAAGGAATAGTATCAACATTAACAAAAAGGAGGTCCACTCAGAGACCCCATCCAAAGGTCACTGACTTCAAAGACCAAAGGTAGTTAAATCCAGGAAGATGTGGAGAAACCAGAACAAAAAGGCTGAAAATTCCAAAAACCAGAATGCTTCTTCTCCTCCAAAGGATCACAATTCCTTGCCAGCAAGGGAGCAAAACTGGACAGAGACTGAGTTTGACAAATTGACAGAAGTAGGCCTCAGAGGGTGGGTAATAACAAATTTCTCCAAGATAAAGGAGCATGTTCTAACCCAATGCAAGGAAGCTAAGAACCTTGAAAAAAGGTTAGACAAATTGCTAACTAGAATAACCAGTTTAGAGAAGAACATAAATGACCTGATGGAGCTGAAAAATACAGTATGAGAACTTCATGAAGCATACACAAGTATCAACAGCCAAATCGATGAAGCAGAAGAAAGGATATCAGAGATTGAAGACCAACTCAATGAAATAAAGTGAGAAGACAAGATTAGAGAAGAAAAAGTGAAAAGAATCAAACAAAGCCTCCAAGAAATATGGGATTATGTGAAAATACCAAATCGACGTTTGATTGCTGTACCTGAAAGTGACAGGGAGAATGGAACCAAGTTGGAAAACACTCTTCAGGATATTATCCAGGAGAACTTCCTCAACCTAGCAAGGCAGGCCAACACTCAAATTCAGGAAATACAGAGAACACCACAAAGATACTCCTCAAGAAGAACAACCCAAAGACACATAATCGTCAGATTCACCAAGGTTGAAATGAAGGAAAAAATGCTAAGTGCGGCCAGAGAGAAAAGTCAGGTTACTCACAAAGGAAAGCCCATCAGATTAACAGTGGATCTCTCAGCAGAAACCTTACAAGCCAGAAGAGAGTGGGGAACAAAATTCAACATTCTTAAAGAAGAATTTTCAACCCAGAATTTCATATTCAGCCAAACTAAGCTCCATAAGTGAAGGAAAAATAAAATCCTTTACAGACAAGGAAATGCTGAAGGATTTTGTCACCACCAGGCCTGCCTTACAAGAGGTCCTGAAGGAAGCATTAAACATGGAAAGGAACAACCAGAACCAGCCACTGCAAAAACATACCAAATTGTAAAGACCATCGTCTCTCTGAAGAAACTGCATCAACTAATGGGCAAAATAACCGGCTAGCATCATAATGGCAGGAACAAGTTCATACATAACAATATTAACCTTAAATGTAAATGAGCTAAATGCCCCAATTAAAAGACACAGAATGGCAAATTGGATAGAGTCAAGACCCATCAGTGTTCTGTATTCAGGAGACCCATCTCATGTGCAAAGACACATATAGGCTCAAAATAAAGGGATGGAGGAATATTTACCAAGCAAATGGAAAGCAAAAAAAAAAAAAAAAAAAAGCAGGGGTTGAGGGGTTGCAATCCTAGTCTCTGATGAAACAGACTTTAAACCAACAAAGATCAAAATAGACAAAGGAAGGCATTACTTAATGGTAAAAGGATCAATGCAACAAGAAGAGCTAACTATCTTAAATATATATGCACCCAATACAGGAGCACTCAGATCCATAAAGCAAGTTCTTAGAGACCTACAAAGAGACTTAGACACCAACACAATAATAGTGGGAGACTTTAACACCCCACTGTCGATAAGAGACAGATCAAGGAGACAGAAAATCCATAAGGATATACAGGATTGAACTCAGCTCTGGACCAAGAAGACCTAATAGATATCTAGAGAACTCTCCACCCCAAATCAACAGATTATATATTCTTCTCAGCACCACATCACATGTATTCCAAAATTGACCACATAATTGGAAGTAAAACACTCCTCAGCAAATGCAAAACAATGGAAATCATAACAAACAGTCTCTCAGACCACAGTGCAATCAAATTAGAACTCAGGAATAAGAAACTCACTCAAAACCGCACAACTACAGGGAAACTGAACAACCTGCTCTGGAATGACTACTGGGTAAATAACAAAATTAAGACAGAAATAAAGATGTTCTTTGAAACCAATGAGAACCTTTGTTCTCTGGGACACATTTAAAGCAGTGTGTAGAGGGAAATTTGTAGCATTAAATGCCCACAAGAGAAAGCAGGAAAGATCTAAAATTGACACCCTAACACCACAATTAAAAGAACTAGAGAAGCAAGAGCAAACAATTTCAAAAGCTAGCAGAAGACAAGAAATAACTAAGACCAGAGCAGAACTGAAGGAGATAGAGACATGAAGAAAACCTTCAAAAAATCAGTGAATCCAGGAGCTGGTTTTTGGAAAAGATCAACAAAATAGATAGACTGCTAGCCAGAATAAAAAAAGAAGAAAAGGGAGAAGAATCAAACAGACACAATAAAAATGACGAAGGGGATATCACCACCAATCTTAAAGAAATAGAAACTACCATCAGAGAATACTATAAACACCTCTATGCAAATGAACTAAAAAATCTAGATGAAATGGATAAATTCCTGGACACATGCACCCTCCCAAGACTAAACCAGGAAGAAGTCAAATTCCTAAATAGACCGATAACAAGTTCTGAAATTGAGGCAGTAATTAATAGCCTACCAACCAAAAAGAGTCCAGGACCAGAAGGATACACAGCCAAATTCTACCAGAGGTACAAAGAGGAGCTGGTACCATTCTATCTGAAACTATTCCAAACAATAGAAAAAGAGGGAATCCTCCCTAACTCATTTTATGAGGCTAGCATCATCCTGATACCAAAACCTGGCAGAGACACAAGAAGGAAGGCAAATTTCAGGCCAATATCCCTGATGAACATCCATACGAAAATCCTCAATAAAATACTGGCAAACCGAATCCAGCAGCACATCAAAAAGCTTATCCACCGCTATCAAGTTGGCTTCATCCCTGGGATGCAAGGCTGGCTTAACATATGCAAATCAATAAATGTAATCCATCACATAAACAAAACCAATGACAAAAACCACATGATTATCTCAATAGAGGCAGAAACGGCCTTCGACAAGATTCAACAGCCCTTCATGCTAAAAACTCTCAATAAACTAGGTATAGATGGAATGTACCTCAAAATAATAAGAGCTATTTATGTCAAACCCACAGCCAATAACATATTGAATGGGCAAAAGCTGGAAGCATTTCCTTTGAAACCTGGCAAAAGACAAGGATGCCCTGTCTCAACACTCTTATTCAACATAGTATTGGAAGTTCTGGCCAGGGCAATCAGGCAAGAGAAAGAAATAAATGGTATTCAATTTGGAAAAGAGGAAGTCAAATTGTCTCTGTTTGCAGATGACATGATTGTATATTTAGAAAACCCCACTGTCTCAGCCCAAAATCTCCTTAAGCTGATAAGCAACTTCAGCAAAGTCTCAGGATACAAAATCAGTGTGCCAAAATCACAAGCATTCCTATACACCAATAATAGAGAGCCAAATCATGAGTGAACTCCCATTCACAATTGCTACAAAGAGAATAAAATACCTAGGAATACAACTTACAAGGGATGTGAAGGACCTCTTTGAGAACTACAAACCCCACTGCTCAAGGACATAAGGGAGGACACAAACAAATGGAAAAACATTCCATGCTCATGGATAGGAAGAAACAATATCATGAAAATGGCCATATTGCCCAAAGTAATTTATAGATTCAATGCTATCCTCATTAAGCTACCATTGACTTTCTTCACAGAATTAGAAAAAAACTACTTTAAATTTCATATGGAACCCGAAAAGAGCCCATATAGCCAAGACAATCCAAAGCAAAAATAGCAAAGCTGGAGGCATCATGCTACCTGCCTTCAAACTATACTACAAGGCTACAGTAACCAAAACAGCATGGTACTGGTACCAAAACAGATATATAGAGTAATGGAACAGAACACCGGCCTCAAAAATAATGCCACACATCTACAACCATCTGATCTTTGACAAACCTGACAAAAACAAGCAATGGGGAAAGCATTCCCTATTTAATAAATGGTGTTGGGAAATCTGGCTAGCCATATGCAGAAAGCTGAAACTAGACCCCTTCCTTACACCTTATACAAAAATTAACTCAAGGTGGATTAAAGACTTAAATGTAAGACCTAAAACCATAAAAAACCTAGAAGAAAAGCTAGGCAATACCATTCAGGACATAGGCATGGGCAAAGACTTCATGACTAAAACACCAAAAGCAACAGCAACAAAAGCCAAAATTGACAAATGGGATCTAATTAAACTAAAGAGCTTCTGCACAGCAAAGGAAACTATCAGCAGAGTGAACAGGCAACCTACAGAATGGGAGAAAAATTTTGCAATATATCGATCTGACAAAGGGCTAATATCCAGAATCTATGAAGAACTTAAACAAATTTACAAGAAAAAAACAACCCCATCAAAAAGTGGGTGAAGGATATGAACAGGCACTTCTCAAAAGAAAATATTTATGCAGCCAACAAATATATGAAAAAAAACTCGTCATCACTGGTCATTAGAGAAATGCAAATCAAAACCACAGCGAGATACCATCTCACACCAGTTAGAATGGCGATCATTAAAAAGTCAGGAAATAACAGATGCTGGAGAGGATGTGGAGAAATAGGAATTCTTTTATACTGTTGGTGGGAGTGTAAATTAGTTCAACTGCTGTTGAAGACAGTGTGGTGATTCCCCAAGGATCTGGAACCAGAAAGACCATTTGACTCAGCAGTCCCATTACTGGGTATATACCAAAGGATTATAAATAATTCTCCTATAAAGACACATGCACACATATGTTTATTGCAGCACTACTCACAACAGCAAAGACTTGGAACCAACCCAAATGCCCATCAATGATAGACTGGATAAAGAAAATTTGGCACATATACACCATGCAATACTATGCAGCTGTAAAAAAATATAGGTTCATGCCCTTTGCAGGGACATGGATGAAGCTGGAAACCATCATTCTCAGCAAACTAACACAAGAAGAGAAAACCAAACACCGTATGTTGTCACTCATAAGTGGGGGTTGAACGATGAGAACACATGGACACCGTGGGAGGGGGGCACATCACACACCAGGGCCTGTTGGGGTGTAGGGGGCTGGGAGAGGGATAGCATTAGGAGAAATACCTAATGTAGATGACAGGTTGATGGGTTCAGCAAACCACCATGGCATGTGTATACCTATGTAACAAACCTGCACGTTCTGCACATGTACCACAGAACTCAAAGTATAATAAAAAATTTAAAAAAAAGAAAGAGGAATGCAGTACGTGGCCACTGCTTAGAGAGAAAGAAAACCACCACTTTTGTATAAGCTAAAACTTATCACCTTGGTTTTGTTGACATAAATATCAACCAAGCTGATCTGTTTTAAATGTGAATAAATCATGATATATCTGCTCGTTACTTTGTGTAATCCCTGTATATTTGAAAAAATTATGTTCATAAGGATTATTCTTTGAGATGAATACTTCTGAGCTGTAGGTAACTATCCTGAGATTCCTTTCTGCTTTAGATAATGAGAATGAGATCAGGGATGCCTCCTTACTTCTTATTTTAAATAAGTGGTTGACATTCATTTGTTATATTGAGAATTTGTTAATACTTACAAGAATCATGTTTGCTATTCATTAATTAATTCAATATATATTTATTGAGACCAAGTAGACAGTGTTCTAAATGCTGGAGATATAACATTGAACCAAATAGACAAAGAATGTAAATAGTACAGTTACTTTGGAATGCAGTTTGGAAGTTCCTCAAATGTTTACCACAGTGTTATCATATTACCAGAAATTCCCCTCCTAGGTATCAACTCAAAAGAATGGAAAACGTGTTCACACAAAAGCCTGTACACGCTAATAATCACAGCATCATTATTCCTAGTGGCCAAAAAGTAGTGACATCTATTGATTGATGAATGGATAAACAAATATCGTATATCCTTACCCTAGAATATTATTCAGCAATAAAATTGAGTACATATTGATATATTTTACAATATGAACGAACTTTGTAAATGTTAAGTGAAAGGTGCCAGTGACAAAAGACCACACATTGTATGATTTTATTCATGTGAAATATCCAGAATATGTAAATCTGTAGAGACAGAAAGTAGATGAGTGGCTTTCAGAGTCTTGCGGGAGAGCAAACCAAGGAGATGAGGAGCAACCACTAATGGATTTGGGGCTTCCTTTATGGGGTGATGAAAGTTTTTAAAAATTATGTAAAGGTGATGTTTGCACAATGTGTGATTATACTTAAAATCCACCAACTTTATCTTTAAAAGGTTGAATGTTATGGTATGTGAATTACATCTTAATAAAGCTGATATATGAAAAAATCCAAAAAATTTAATTGAATATCCTTTTCGTGCTAAGGAAGGTCTCAGGAACTGGGGATACTGTAACTGTCAAAAAGTAGCAATCTTTGCTTTCACAGAGCTAACCATTTTTCAGTAAGTGTTTATTGAAACTGAAAGACTGCTCTATGTTTGAGCAAAAGCTTATCCAAGATGAAATTATTACTGGTTATTATAATTGGAGGACCATTATATAGAAGTGGGAGGATCTTGCTTGTGTAATGTTATATAAAGAGTTTAAAATAAACAGGATAGGTTGGAGCATGACAAAAGAAGAGCACTTCATTTTGGATGAAGCCTAAAATAATCTGGGAGCTTTTTGAAGTATGCTTTTCCATATTTTTACATCAGAATTTCATGGAAGATGGCTGTGACCTATGGAAAGTTTTGGGAATTAATTTAGCACTTAATGTCACTTCGTGCCTGTTCTCATATTGGAATATCAATGTACCTGCTGATGACATTTTCCAAAGTTTTTGTTTTGGGATAAAATGACCTACAGTGATTTTCATAAAATATAACTTGTTTGTGGAAACAGACGTAAACATTAATGCTAAATTAGATGGAACATCTAAATGATTTAAACAGAGTAAGTTAACTTATTATAGCTATAATAAGTTATAGCAATAAATTAAATATCACATAACAAAGAAGACATAGACCTTATGAAGATGTTGAGGTTGATTTATGGTTCGCCCGTAAGTTATTTTCACTTCCAAATGTAGGGGTCTGCATTGGTTAGTTTTCTGTGTCAACTTGGCCAGCACGTAGTACCCAGTTATTAAATTACACACAAATCTAGTATTGCTGTGAAGGTATTTTTGTATATGTGGTTAGGAAATTATCATCAGTAATTTGGAGCTAACTCATCCAATCAGTTGAAAGGCCAGAAGGGCAAAACAACTTTCTCTGAGGAATAATAAATTCTACCTATGGGATGAAACTTCAGCTTCTGCCCCAGAATTTCCAGCTTGCCAGCCTTCCCTACAGATTTCAAACTAGCTAATCTCTACAATTCCATAAGCCAATTCCTTGAAATAAACATATTTATCATATCTATCTTTCTGCCTAGATCTATTCTAATTCCAGGAGACCCAAAATGTTATTGTGTTCTACCAGTCAGAGTAGTGGCTTATGGAGGTCAAGTTAGGGGCTTATGGAGTCAGAGTAGGAGATTATGGGGGTCAGGTTATCAATGGAATTTTAGCTCAAGCCTGTGTCCGTGTTGAGCAGGTCCACAGACCAATCCTGTGGTTGTTTCTCCAGTTCCACAATGTGTAATTGGGATAGATGTACCCAGCAACTGGTAGACTCCCCATATTATTTCCCTGACCTCTGGGGTGAGGGTTATTGTGGTAAGAAAGGCCAAATGGAAACCTCTAGAACTGCTTCTACCTAATAGTAAACAAAAGACAATATTGCAATCCTGGAGGAATTGCAGAAATTTGTGTTACCATCAAGGACTTGAAAGATGCAGGGTTGGTGATTCCTACCATAACCCCATTTACCTATTTGTGCAGAAAAAAAATTGATCTTGTGTGTGTGTGTGTGTGTGTATAAATATATGTATATGTGTATGTGTGTGTTTATAATGTACATATGTTTATCATTAATGTATAGAATTAAAAATAGAGACACAGAGAGGTTATGCAGCTTGCCTGAGGTTACCCAACTGGGAATTGTGGGGCTGGAATAAAAAGATAGTTTATTGAGACTCTAAAACCTGTGAAGTTTACACTGCATGAACAGGAGTTTTGTCCTCTAAGAGTGATAGGTATCTGCAGCCGTTCCTTGGAAGTCTGCTCTTTTTCGGTGAGAAAGTCTAGGAGTCATTGTCAGTCTATTCAGGGAGTGACTGTTGCTTCATCATTACACTGATGCCCTTCCAAATGTTCTAGAATTAAGGTTACCCTTCTGTCCCAAGTGGCTACTCTTAAGCTGTTAATAGAGTCAAAACTAGATTTTAATTCATATTTATATTCTTATTTGTTATCAGGAGGAAGAAAGGTCCTTGTGCTTATAATGAAATTATACTGAGAAACCCAAGCAGGCTGTGACAAAGGAAATACTGCTTCCATGTCAGAAATAATAGGAAATGAATCTGATGCACATCAAGTTTTGACTTTTTAGGCAAAGACTCTGAGGTTGGGGCAAACTTGGTAATTTACAATAAGTAGTTACTGAATGTTAGGGCTTGACAAGATGCATTTATACATTACCTAGTTTTCTACTTTTTATTTAATCATTAAATAAAAATTTAGCCCACACAATAAATATATTAAAATTCATGCATTTATTTATACTATTTTGGAGTCCCCCAGAAGAACAGAGATTAGAATTTTGCCTAATGAAATGAGTTCAGATATATAAAAATAAGGATATCTATCTATCTATCTATCTATCTATCTATCTATCTATCTATCTATCTATCTATCTAATTTACATGGAACATCCTAACAGCTGAGTCAGCAGTATACATTCCTGGTCATGCATCAGCGTTGCCTGCAGGGCTTTGTAAAATACCCATATCTGAATCATACCAAAGACCATGATTAAGAATCTCCCAAGGGAGTGCCCCAAAACTTGGATTTTCACAAAGTGATAAAGGTGGCATCAATTCATGGCTGGGACTGAAAACTATAAAAGTTGGGAAAAAAGACTTTAAGATTGCATCAGTTAGTTGAGTCAATTGATTTTCTAGCCTGCTCACTCTTTAGGAGCCCAATCCCTCATCCTACACATACATTCCTAATCATTTTTTATTGGATTCACCTTTGTCTACACTTTTATTTTGGACTTGCTGTTTCACTTCATTCTCCTTCACTGATGGGAACATTTTCTTTAATTCTGGCTTCTTGCTATTTGTAAGGATTTTGTAAAGCTCTGGCATATATTTGTTCTGATTTGGTTAATCTATTTTTTAAAACAAATATTTTTTATTTATATATGAGCATATAAATTTAATGGGTCAGACCAGATTATTTTCGTGAGTTAATTTGTTAGATTCCTGGTTGGAAAGGAACAAACAGCATTTTTGAGAACAAATACAAATGGCTTATGTTCCATCAGCTGAGTCCTGGAAGAACATCAAAAATCAGTTGTGCAGAGCCACTAAATTGAAGAAGAGCACCCATTCTGAATGCTTTTATTTTAAACATGTATATAATTATTTTTGAATTGTATTTTTATTATGTGTAAATAATGACATTTAGACATGAACAACATGTTTCCCATGCTTCTTTTTTTTTGCAATGGGAATGTTAGTAAATAGGAATGTCATTAAGACATAATCATGTTTATAGTTTTAGTCAGATTTGGCTAGCACTAGAAAACAAAATAGAATATAATTTTAAAAAATAACTGTAAATAAAATTCTCTTTTTGAGCTTATTTATCATTTGAATTGAAATAAGATGTAGAGGAAAAAGAATTTTATGGTAAACTAGTCTGTGTTGCGTGACACTACTATTCTTCAGGTGGGTTTCTCATGTCCTCTGGAGGAGTGGTATGATTTTTTAGGAAAACCTTGAAATGTTAGGCTATAATCACTTATAACCTAAAATTTTAAGATGGCCAATCTTGGCCTAGCCAGAAAAAAACTTGTGCTCATGAAGATATTAAACAAAATGGTAAATTTCTTTAAATTTTTTGCAATGATTATTTATATGATACTATATTCTTAATTTCAATAAAATATACTAGAAAACATCAGATCCATTTGAAAAAGAACTGCTTGAGGATATTACTACTTTTAAATTCTACTGTATACATTTTCAGAAAACATTGTTAAAAGGGTAAGCATGGAAAATAGCTTGATAACATTATTGAGATCCAATAGTTTAGCAAAGTTTATTGATCACCTAGATCCTAAAGGTAATATGTTTCTAAGTAAGTTATGAATGGAATTAAAATAACTATTTTCATTTGTAGCTCATGGAGTCTGTCTTTTAGTTTGTTAAACTTTTTTTTTGTATGAAACAGTTAAAAAACACAATTCGGGAGGGACAACCTAAAAGATAGCAGAGTAGGGAGCTCTCTCTACTGAAACAAACATTAAGATGAAAAATAGCTAACTGAAACAACTTTTCAGAACGCTGGAATCTAACAAAAACTAATCTAATAGGAAACTTGTAGGAACCAGAGAAGTGCCTAATGAAAGAAAACACTGCTAAATTTCAGCATTTAAGGAAATCTCTGTGAAGTCACTGGCTGAATGCTGTGGTAACGGAACAGAGATTTCAGTGACTACACACAGCAAGGAATAAATTTTTGAAAAAATAGCTTTAAGAAGTCACTAAACAATTGGATAACAGCAGCCCTCAACAGGCAACAACAATAAAGTTTGGGGAGGGAGAATATGATTTCCAGATTTTCCATGTTATAATTTTCAAAGTTTTGATTTTTCAGCAAAAAACTAAAAGGCATACAGAGAAACAAGAAAGTATGCCCCTCACAGGAAAAAAATGTTGATTGACAGAAGCTATCACTGAGAAAACCCAGACATTGGACTTACTAAACAAAAACTTTAAATCAACTGTATGCTCAAAGAGCTAAAAGAAACTATGGACAATGACTAAAGGAAACCATAAGAATTATGTCTCATCAAATATGGAATATTAATAAAGACATAGAAGTTATTAAAAAGGAAACAAATAGAAATTCTGGAGCTAAACAGTAAAGTAGCTAAAATGAAAGATTCACTAGAGGAGATAAGCAGCATATTTGAGCAGGCAGAAGAAAGAATCAATAAACTCCAAGAAAGGACAATTGAACTTATCCACTCTGAGGAGCAGAAAGGAAAAATAATGAATTAAAATTAATAAAGCCTAAGGAATCTTTTGGGCACTCTCAAGTGTAACGTAACATTCTGGGATTCTCAGAAGTTGAAGAAAGAGATAAAGAAGAAGAAAGAATATATAAAGAAATTATGGTTGAAAACTATAAATTTGATGAAAGTCTGAATTTACAAATCCAAGAATCTTAATGAACTCTAAGTAGAATCAACTCAAATATAGTCATATTGAGACACATTATAATCAATCTTTGAAGCAGCGAAGTGAAGTGACTCATCACCTACAAGTGATTCTCAGTTAAGATTAATATTTGTTCTCCTATTTGAAATTATAGAGGCCGGAAGACAGTGGGGCCACATATTTAAGGTGTTGAAAGAAAAAAGACTCTCAATCAATCATTTTATATTTGACAAAACTGTTCTTCAAAAATGAAAGAGAAATTAATATATTCATGGATAGACAAAAGCTGAGAGAGTTTATTGCTATAGGCCCACCTACAAGAAATATTAAAGGATACCAGATAATAAATCAGAAGCATACACAGAGATAAATAACTAGTAACGATAACTACATACATAAATGTAAAACAGTGTTGTTTTGGTTTGTAACAATTCTTTTATCATATATGATTTGAAACATAAATGTATAAAACAATGATTATGAATATTTAATACAGACACACAAGGCATACAAATGTAACTTTTGACTATAAAAGCATAAAGGGGGTGATGGAGCTAGATAGGAATAGAGTTTTTTTTAATGCTACTGAAGCTAGGTTGGTATCAATTTAAACTAGCTATAAGTTTGTGATTTTAATTGTAATAGAGAAATTACTAAGAAAATTACCGAGACTATATAGAAAAGAAAATGATGAGGAATTAAAATGATTCACTGGAAATAATCAAACACAAAAAGAAAGCAGTCTTGGAGAATTTGAGAAACCTTAGAAAACACAAAGCATAATGGCAGAAGTAAGTCCTTAATTTTCACTTATCATGAATCACTTTGAATGTAAATGGATTAAGCTTGCCAATTCAAGGCAGATTTTAGCAGAATAGATTTTAAAAAACATAACCTAGCTATATGCTGTCTACAAGATATTCATGTTAAATCCTTACCCAGTCTCAGATATTTTGTAATAGCAGCACAAATGAACTAAGACAAATTGGGACTGAGAAATGGGGTGTTGCTATAACAAATATCTATAAATGTGGGAGCAGCTTTTGAACTCAGTAATGGGTCGAGGCTGGAAGAATTTGGAGGTCCACACTACAAAAAGCCTAGATTTTTGCCCAATATGGAGTGTTAAGGGCAATTCTAGTGAGGGCTCAGAAGAAGAGATCTGTACAGAGAGCCTGAATCTTCTTAGAGATTATTTAAGTGGTCATAATCAGAATGCTTGTAGAAATATGAACAGTTAAAGGCCATTCTGATGATGTCATAGACAAAAAATGAGGAGTACTTTATTGGAAACTGGAGGAAAGGCAATCGTTATTACCCACAATGTGGTAAAGAACTTGGCTGAATCATGTTCATGTTCTAGTACTTTGTAGAAAGCAGCTCTTAAGAGCAATTAACTGGGATTTCTGGTGGAAGAAATCTCTAAGCAAAGGTTCAGGGTGCTGCATTGCTCTTCTTAACTGTTTATAGTCAAATGTGGGAAGAGAGAAACACATTAAAAATGGAATTTATGATTAAAAGGGAACCAGAACTTAAAGATTTGGAAAATTCTCAGCCTGGCCAGGTTGAAAACACATGTTTGAGAGAGAAAAGCAAGGGTGTAGCCAAGTGACCATTTGACAAGGAAATTAGTATTGATGGAAGAGAGCCAGATATTATCCATAAAGACAATGGAGCAATGACCCTGCAAGGCATTTCAGAGATTATTGGTGTCTCTCTGCACTTCCCATCAGAGGCCCAGGATGTCAAAGCCTAGGAGACAGAACTGTGTCCAAAAAGGGGTCCTGGGTGCCCACGGGGGTGAAGTTGCCATAGAGAGTCCCCACTAAGGCAGTACTCAGTAGAGCCATGGGCTTGGGGCTACCACAGAGAACCTCTAGTGGGGTGATATCTAGTGGAGCCGTAGGCATGGGGCCGCTCCCAAGATCCCAGAACTGTGGAGCCACCAGCATGCAACTTCAACTCATGAGAGCTGTGTCATGGGCTGTACTCAGCAAAGCCAAAAAGATGGGGTCACCAAGAGCCTTGCTGATCCAACTCCAACTCTAGTATGTCCAGAAGGTGGAACATGAAATCAAAGAAGATTGTTCTCAAGCCTTAAGATTTGCCCTATTGGATTTTGGACTTGGAACCTGTATCACTTTCTTTTTTTTTATTATTATTATACTTTAAGTTTTAGGGTACATGTGCACAATGTGCAGGTTTGTTACATATGTATACATGTGCCATGTTGGTGTACTGCACCCATTAACTCGTCATTTAGCATTAGGCACACCTCCTAATGCTATCCCTCCCCGCTCCCCCCACCCCACAACAGTCCCCGGAGTGTGATGTTCCCCTTCCTGTGTCCATGTGGAACCTGTATCACTTTCTTCTTTCCTATTTCTCTACTTTGTCATGGGAATGCTTATTCTATGTCTATTCCACCATTGTATTTTGAAATTATATAATTTGCTTGATTTTATAATCACATTGCTAGAGGGGAATTTGCGTCAGCATGAAACACACCTTTGAGTCCCACCCATATTGGATTTAGATGATATTTAGATAAGACTCTGGACTTTAGACTTTCGTGTTCATGTGGGAACAAGTTAAGAATATTGGGGCTATTGGAATGGAATGAATGTATTTACATCTGAAAATAATTTTTGGAGCCAGAGACAGAATGCTATGGTATGTACCCCCCTAAATTTGTATGTTGACACTTAATCACCAACATGATAATATTGAGAGGTGAGATCTTCAAGAGGTGATTAAGTCGTAAGGGCAGAGCCTTCATGGGTGGTATTTATAAAGGGGCCTGAGGAGGCAAGTTGATTTCTCTCATCTCCACTCCTATGTGAGGACATGGCACACATTCTTTCTGGAAGAAGCAGAGTTCAAGGTATCATCTTAGAAGCAGAAATGGAGCCCTCACCAGACACGGAATGTGCTGGCACATTGATCTTGGACTTCCAAGCCTCCAGAACTATGAGAAATAAGTTTCTATTATTTATAAATCACCCAGTCTAAGATACTTTGTTGTTGTAGCACAATTAGACTGAAACCCAAAGACACAAATATGTTGAAAATTTAAAAAGATGCAAATTTCAATCAGAGAGAGCTGGGGCAGGTATAATAATATCAGAAACATACCATTTAAGTAAAAAATTGTTAAAAGAGATAAGAATGATATTATATATTTAATTCAGCAAGAAGTTATAATAATTATAGGCATCTACTGATCAAACAACAGAGCCCTAATATATATATATATAGCAAACACTGACAGAATTGAAAGGTGAAAGAGACAGTTCTACAGTGATAGTTGGAGATTTTAATACCCTACTTTCAACAATAGATAGAACATCTAGACTGAAGATTAATAAAGAAGTGGAGGACTTGAAGAACACTGCAAAACAACTAGATCTAACAAACATATGTAAAACATTCTACTCAACAACAGCAAAATATACATGATTCTGAACTGCACATAACGTTCTCTACAATAGATTATAAAATAATTCACATATCATGTCTTAATAAATTTAACAAGGTTGAAATTATATGAAGTATCTTTACCGACCACTTGGAATGAAGCTGGAAATTAATGGCAGAAGAAAAACTGGAAAATTCACAAATACATGGAAATCAAATAACACACTCTTAAACAACTAATGGGTCAGAGAAATAGTCATGAACGAAATGAGAAATTATTCGGTGATGAATGAAAACAAAGTCATAACATACAAAAACTTACAGAATGCAGTGAAAGCAATGCTTAATAGAAAAATGTATAGATTTAAATGAATAAATTATAAAATTATAAAGATCACAAACCAATATTCTAATTTTGTACATAGGGACTTAGAAAAGGAAGAGAAGACTAGACCCCAGATTAATGGAATGAAGCAAAATTAGAATGGAGATACACAAACAGATAATAGAAAAACAACAGAGAGAATCGATGATATCAAAACTTAGTTTTGGGAAAATATCAACAAAATTGACAAAACCTTAGCTAGACTGACTAAGGAAAAAAGCAACAACAGAGAATGTGCAAGTAACTACCATCAGAAATGAAAATATGGATATTACTGCTGACCTTTACAGATATTAAAAGGATTATAAGGCGATACTGAAAAAATTGCACAGAAACAAATTATATGTTATAGACATAAATTAGAACAAATTCCTAGAAACACACGAATTATCAAAATGGACTGAAAAAGCATTTAAAAATCTAAGCAGACGCCTAGCAAGTAAAGAGATTGAATTAGTAATCCAAATTCTGCCTACAAAAATATCTTGGGTCTGATGCCTTTACTGGTGAATTCTACTAAACACTTAAAGAATAATTAACATCAATTCTTCTCAAACTCTTCCAAAAAATATAAGCTGAAAGGATAATTTCTAGTGCATTCTATCGGACAGCATTACCTTATTATCAAAGCCAAAATAAGACACCACAATAAAAGAAGACAATAGACCAATATCTCTTATTAATAAATATGCAAAAATCATCAACAGTATACTAGCAAATCAAATCCAACAGCATATGAAAAGGATTATACATCATGACCAAGAGAGATTATCCTAGGAATGTAAGGATGGTTCAACATAAGAAAGTCAATATGATAAATCACATTACTAGAATGAAGGGGAAGAATTCCATGATCAAATCAATTGACTGAAATAAAGCATTTGACAAAATTCAACCCTCTTTCATGATTAAAATACTCAGCAAACTTAAATAGATGGGAACTTCCTCAATATGAAAAGGACATTTATTAAAAACCCATAACCAATATCATACTAAATGGTGCAGGAATGGAAGCTTTCTCCCTAAGACTGAAAATAAGACAAGTATACCTATTCAATGTTGATATTCAACTTTGTACTGGAAGTTAAGTCAGGGCAACTAGTAAGAAAAAGAAATACAAATTAGAAAAGAAGAGGTAAAATAAATGACATAATCTATATATAGAAACCCCCCCCAAAACTAATAGGGCTAATGAATGAATTCATCAAAATTACAGGGTACAAAATCAACACATAGAAATTAGTTGTGTTTTTATAGAAAAGCAATAAACAATCTGAAAAAGAAAGTAATAAATTTATTCCTTTTACAATATTATCCAAAAGAATAAAATACCCACAGGTGAATTTAACCAATGAGGTGAAAGAAGTTAAAGAAGACCCAAACAAATTGAAAGACATCTTGTTTGTGTGGATTTGAAGACTTAATATTGTCAAGATGGTAATACTATTTAAAGTGATCTACAGATTCAATACAATTTCTATCAAAATTCAAACATCCATTCTTTTTGCAGCAAATGGAAACATCAATTTATGAATTCACATGGAATTGCAAGGATCTTTGAATAGTGAAACCATAATGAAAAAGAAAAATAAAATTCAAGGATTCACACTTTCTGATTTCAAAACTTACTACAAAGCTAAACTTAATCAAAACTGTGGTACTATTATAAATATAGACATTTAGACAGTAGAATTAAGAGCCCAGAAGTCAACTCATACATCTATATCCATTTGATTTTTGACAAGGGTGCCAAGTGCATTCAATAGGAGAAATAATAGTCACTTCAACAAATGATGCTGACACAGCTGAATAGCCACATGCAAAAGGGAAAAAAATTGATACTTACTTCATACTATATACAAAAAGCGACTCCAAATGATCAATGACCTAAATAGAAGGGTTAAACTGTACAACTATTATAAGAAAATGTAGGAGTAAATCTTCATGACAGGGAATTTGGCAGTGGATTCTTCAATATGAGCCCAAAGTATGAGCAACAAATGAAAAAGATAAATTGGACTATGTAAGAATTTTAAAACTTTTGTCCATCTAATGACATTACCAGGAAAACAAAAACACAGCCTACACAATGGGAGAAAATATTTGTAAATCACATATCTGAAAAAGATCTATTATCTGGGATATTTAAAGAACACATACCTTAACAACAAAATGGCACACAACCCAATTTAAAATTAGGCAAAGAATACATATAAATATTATATATCTTTACAATTTTTAATAAATAAATAAAAGGTAAATAAAAAAAGGCAAAGGATTTGAAGACAGATTTCTGTAGGGCAGATATGAAATCATCAACAAGCACATTATGAGATACTCAATATCATGTGCATTAGGGAAGTGCAAAACGACAATGAGATACTGCTTCACATCCACTAGAATGGCTATAATTTAAACAATGGAAAATAACAAAAAGAACATGGAGAAATTAGAGCTCTTGTATATTGCTGGAGGGAATGTAAAATGGTGCATCCACTGTGGAAAACAGTTTTGTGGTTTGTCAAAAAGTTAACATAGAATTAGCCTAAGATTCAGCACGTCTACTTCTGGGTATATATCCTAAAGAATTAAAAACATGTACTCATACAAATACTTGTACAGGAATATTCATGGAAGCATTATTCATAATAGCTAAAAGGTACAAACAACCTTAATGTCCTTCAGTGGATGAATAGATAAACAAACGTGGTGTATAAAATAGAATGTTACTCAGCATTACTGATACATGCTGAAATATGGATAAACTTTGAAAACATTATGCTATGTGAAAGAAGCCAGAAACAAAAGGTCACATATTGTATGGTTCCCTTTATATGAAATAATCGGCACATGAAAAGACATAAAGTTAGAAAACAGATTGGTGATTGCCAGGGACCTGTGGGGCAGGGAGGGGAAATAGAGAGTGACTGCTTAATGAGTACAGGTTTATCTTTTGGAGTGATGAAAATGTCTTGGAACTAGATAGAGGAAGATGGTGGTTGTACAACATTGTGAAATGTTAAATGTCCTGAATCATACACTTTAAAATGGTTAATTTTGGCCAGGTGTGGTGGCTCACGCTTGTAATTCCAGAACTTTGGGGGGCCCAGGCAGAGATCGCTTGAGCTCAGGAGTGTGAGGCTAGCCTGGGCAGTGTGGCAAAACCCCATCTCTACAAAAAATACAAAAAAAATAGCCAGATATGGCAGTGCACACCTGTAGTTCCAGCTATTCAGAAGGCTGAGGTGGGAGGATCACTTGAGCCTGGGAGGTTGAGGCTGCAGTGAGCCGAGATCCTGCCACTGCACTCCAGCCTGGGTGACAGAGTGAAACCCTACCTCAAAAAAGAAAAAGGTTAATTGCATATTACATGAATCCTACCTCAATGAGAAAATCTATAAAGAAGCCATAATATTCTGGTAACATTTATAAACAGGTGGGGTGAAATGGAAAGTTGTATTATTCACTGACCAGTTAGGACACAGAAACCACAGAGTAATTTTAACAGGGGAGGTTGAAGCGTTAATTGTAATGGATTACCTACTAATGGAAAAAGAAAATTTTGAAGAATACAGGAAGAGCAGAAATAGGGAGGAGCCCCTGCCTTTATAGCTGAGGCAAAGCGACCCAGGAAGCGGCATAGATGGAAGAACCTACTTGTCAGGACTGAGATCCAGACCTTGTTGGGGAGGATGGCAGTGGTCTGAAGGGTGGTGGAAGTGTTTGCTGAGTTCCCACATTGTGGAACTTACTGGTAATACTCGGCAAGGGTCATGCATTGGGAAGCTCCCTTCCACCACCACCCACGGTGGTGTGTTTGAAAGGTGCCTTCTGGGGGAAGCTGCTCATAGAGAAGTGCTGCTGACTGCTGAACACTGCAGAAGTTTACATTAACTAACAAACTGCAGAAGTTACACTGCACTAACAAACTTAAGATTATGCCGCTGACAAGACATTTTTGCAAGGTTTTCCTCCATTATTGTATAGCAGGATTAAAAGGGGGGTTTTCAGCTGAGAGACAAATAAACTGATAATTGGCACAAAATTATTCTAATAAAGTAAGTTTAGATAAAACAGTTTACACAAGTATCTCTAGCTGCTATAGTAGCTTCCTATATTAATTCATGTGATTACTGAATTGTCACCTTGGTTTGTGAATTACCTTGAATCATCTGGAAGTTGAAAAAATACATTCCTTAGAAGAAAAAAGTTATTAACAGTCGTTTTTTAAAAATAGGCATATCAAACTATAATGCTCGATTGAAGGTACTAGATTAAAATGTTACAATTAAATTAAAAATATTTGTATCAGTGACATGTTTATTGATAATTAAGAATATAACCTGCCATTCAGACTTTCATTATTTTCAAGTAGAGCTTATACAAGGTGCCTGTATAAGTAGTAAGATGACAGCTAGTTGTACTGGAAAGTACACTAAAATAATTATCTCTAAAATGCTAAAAATAAAAACATCCAGATTTTGATCCAGTTGACTACGCATAGCATTAACTATTACAGCAAATAAATGTTAGGGCACATTTGTAGCATTCCTATTAAAAATGATTACTTTTTCTAACATTTTTAGAGCAAAGTATACTGCATCAGAAATACATTATTGCAATAGAACATTGTTTAAAGGTTAATATTTTATGGGTTAAAAGTTCCTATCTCAACTTTGACATTTGTTTTTGAAAAATGGGCTTCGGTTCAACATTTATATAGCAGCAGGAGACCGTTATCTTGTGACAACACTTCATTGCATTGACATTATCTGTTAATTATCTTTGCCACCACTAATTTTGAGCCTGGTGTGCTGTATATGCTGGCTCTTACTGTTGTATGCTTGCTCTTTCTTTTCTCACTGATGAGTCTGGAAAAAATACAAACCTTAATTAAAAGTGAAACTCAGACAAAGGTTATACTTTGCACAAGATTTCTGGAGACACTACGATCATCCAGAGTAGTTCAAAATAGTCTTCAATATTCAAAATTGCCTCTAATATGCACTGTCTAGGTTGTACTCTAATTCCACTCTCCCCAATATATTTTTCCCTTTCAAATGACCTCTGAGTGTAATTCCATATATCCTGTACCTAAATGTCTCCTATTTCATGATTATTCTCTACAGATATTTAATAAGCATTTATTCTTTAGGAGTATAATCAATCATAGGTCATTTTGGGGCATGATAGACCACATCAAAAATAGAAAAATGGATAAGAAAAAGCCTGTTCTAAGAAAATTACAGCCTTGTAGAAGAGAGACATCTTTTCCAAAGTATATAAATAAATGTGTATTGTACTTAGAATTGTCATCTTGCTTCTGGCAGCCTCTGCTTTAATTCCCCTATCCGGTCTTCCTGTCTCTTTATTCCAATTTGTTAGTTCAGATCTTCTTGTTCTCCTTAGGGGAGGATACACTACAACCTTTCACCTGTCATGCTCTCTAAAAGGGAATATATTGTACCATGTTTCTAAATCCTCCCTTCTTATCCACTCATCTCTGCCATAGGTAGTCATCCTTGGTGTTCTAATTCTCAACTAAGGGGAAGGGAATGTGATTCTGAGCCCAAGCCTTACACTTGCCAGTGTATCCCTCCCTTATCTTCCTGTGACTGTGTCCTTGCAACTCTGTCTCTTCTCAGTTCACATGTCCTTTCCTGAAAGAGGCATTACTCAAACGCCCTGTCTTAAGTAGCTTATTTTCCCAACTCCCAAGTTTCAATCACTCTCAATTCCACTATTCTAACTTACATTCTTCATAACATTTATGACTCTCTGAAGTGGTAGTATCTTTTCAAATACTTACTGATTAATGTCTGTGTTCTTCCATCACAATGTCAACACCACAAAGATGAAAACTTCTCTTACTTGACTGCTGTATTCCCACTGCCTAGAATTTTGCCTGGCACGTGATAAAAACTCAAATCATATTTGCCAAATGCATGAGTGAATGAGCCTCATCCTAACTCCCTGAGGGGAATATTTCGTATTTGGACACGTAACATCTTCCATGGGTGACTGTATTCCTTCATGGATAATCCTTCCCATTGATTGAAGATCCCCAGAATTGTAAGTCTTTCTAATTAGCACTGACCAGGGGCATTACTTGCAGGGTAAACAATGCTATCTTAGTCGCATGCTGTTCCCCGATTTTGTGCCTGTACATACAGGCTTTGCACATTAACTCTTTTGGGTGCTTTGGAGTACTACTGCCCAGTTGTTGTTTCTGAAGAAAGCCTTTAATAGTTCTGCTTTGGAAAAAAAATACAATGAAAGCTGCTGGAGATTGGCAGAAGATAAAGAAAAATTGACACATGTACTTGCAGAGTAATCTGAAAGAAAGCTGAATGCATGGCAGAATGGATTTAATTTCTTCAGTTTATAAGAGTAGCATTTCATACACTAAAATTTCCTTTTTGCATTACTTCCTAACTTACATTAATGATCACTTTCTTGTTCTTTCATTCAACACACACGGGCAATGTAGAGTTATAGAATATTTTATTTTTAAGAAACACAGCTCTTTCCAGGCACGGTGGCTCACGCCTATAATCCCAGCACTTTGGGAGGCCAGGGCAGGCGGATCACAAGGTCAAGAGATTGAGACCATCCTGGCTAACATGGCGAAAACCAATCTCTACTAAAAATGCAAAAATTAGCTGGGCATGGTGGAGTGCACTTGTAGTCCCAGCTACTCGGGAGGCTGAGGCAGGAGAATCACTTGAACCCGGGAGGCGGAGGTTGCAGTGAGCCGAGATTGTGCCAATGCACTCCAGCTTGGCGACAGAGGAGTGAGACTCCATCTCCAAAAAAAAAAAAAAAAAAAAAAAAAAGAAGAAACACAGCTCTTTTTTCATGGTATGATACTCATTAGCAGTTCTACAAACAATATTCTAACTTTATTTCCTATTTTCTTACTTTCATACATACTTCTTTAGATGAAAGCTAATTGGTTCGTGTGCCTAAGTAACTGTGACTCTTGAAACTTGTCTTTTTCAAGCCTTTGCTGAGACATTGTCTACGTATCTAAAGCCTCCCAAACTGCTTATTTACAATTTCAAAAATCGTATATTGTATATTTTCTAAGACTATGTTGGATATGGTATGGTAAAGTAACCATGGCTACAGGAAGAAATGAGAATGAGGTTTGGAAGGAAGAAATTTATTACACATACAAGTCCCAGTGAGGGGGTCACTGTGTGCCTGCAGGGCCACCAGAGAAGTGTCAGATTTTGGTTGAGGTGGTGGAAGACAGTGAGGGGAAAGTTGACCAGAGCCTGTATTAAAACTAAAATATAAAGGAAAATGCCTAATTACCAGTATACAAAAACATTTAGTAAAGGAGGAAAACTGTAAATACAGTAATAAAGCACAAATAAATGATTGGTATAAAAGGAGATTCATTTTAGTAGACAAGTAGATCAATAAAATCCTGGCAATGAGCCCATCAGTTACTGATGCTATTAAATTGCCCTTTTACCAGTCTCATTACTTGGAAACAGTTTTAAAGAGGAAATTCTAAGTTTCGTGTGTGTGTAATAGTACCTTTAAAAACAGGTACAATCGAAGGCTTATTGTGTTTTTCTTATGACTCACATGTATTTAGTATAAACATACAACACCATAGTGTTTTAAAAAGCACTTAGGCTTTCTTAATTAAAGGAATATTCACAGAAAAGTACATTTCTCAGAAGTTTATATTACTAAAAAGCAACTCAGAAGACTGATTGATATTACTGTTTTTTAAAGATGAAAAATTTGAGGTAAAGGAAAAAGTCAAATAACCTGCTCGAGTGTGCATAGTGATTGAGATTATACATACACAATTTACAGCTTAGTGCCTGATTCATAGGAAATAATCAACAGATTATAGATAGGCATTATTTAAAAAATAACCAAGGTATAAAGACGTACTGACTATTTGACCACAAATATGAAATATTCTCTGGATAGTTAATTGAAGGGCAACTGAAATTCTTTGCTTTTTTGAGATATTTTTAATGGGGCATTTTAATATGTGTATGACTGTGCTTGTCTATTTCTGTCATTTTCTACATAAAATATTTTATAGTTCAATACTAAAGTGGAAGATACAGGAGAGTCTGATATTTAAGGATATAATATTTCCAATGGGAAAATATTTTCCTGTACTTTTAAATGAAATGCAGGCATAGTCTCTCCTAATCAGGCTTTATTTAGGCTTGAATAGGTAAGTAAAGTGGGAATAAGTTAATGTCATTTGAAATTATCTGCTTTTACTTAAGGAATCTTTGAGTCATTATATCATGATAAAATGCATTTTAAAGTAAAAACATTGTTAAGGAAAGGTCATAATATCATGTCAATAGGTTCAGGTCTTCATAGACATAATTTATTTCTGAGCATTAAGTTCATAATAGCATAACCTCTGAATATATGCAAAAACAAGACATAACTATAAACATTTGTGGACAAAGTAATCAATATCGTGATATTTCAACATACCCTTCTAAATAATTGACAGATCAAGCAAAATTAATAAGAATATAAGAGAATTAATAAGCTTAATAAAATGGATAAATATAGTAAAAATTAGGGAACCCATAACCTTCTTAAGCATTCATGGAATATTTATCATATTTACCAAAATTGACAATTAATATGTCATAAATTAAGTCTCAAAATTTTCAGATAACTGATAAACATTAACCATAGAAACAATATGCTCTGATTATGTAATTCAGTTAATTATAAATGAGTAAGTTAAAAATAGCATTCTAAATATGCTGTAGAGCAAGGAAGAATTTATAATGCACATAAAGTTTTCAGCAATATATTTAATATACCACATTACAACATGTGGAGTGCAGCCAAAATAGTACTTTGAAGGAAATATGTAGTCTTCAATGCATATAAAAGACAAGAATAAATACTCAAATTCTATAAGTTAAGCATCTAACCTAAGAAGCTAGAAAAAGAGAACACAACAAATGCAATAATAGAAGGAAAAGGAAAATATAAACATAAAATTTAATGAAACAGGAAATTTCAACTTTTGGCATGTCCGAATAGCTGGTACTAGACTTGCCTTCCTATTGCAAAAAATAAAAATAAAAATAAAAACTGGAAAATAAAACAAAATGCAGTCACATGCTATATTATAATGTTTCAGTCAATGACAGATTGTATATATGACAGTGGTCCCATGAGATTATAATATTGTATTTTTATTGCACCTTTATATGTTTGGATATGCAAATACTTGACATTGTGTTACAATTGCCTACAGTATTTAGTACAGTGACATGCTTTATGGGTTTGTAGCCTAGGAGCAATAAGTTACATCATATAGCTTAGACGTGTAGTAGGCTAGACTGTCTAGGTTTGTGTAAGTACACCTGATAATGCTCAAACAAGAAAAATCACCAGACAACACATTTCTCAGAACATATCCTCATTACTAAGCAATGCATGACTGTACATCAAACAGTGATTTTCAGACATTAGGCAACAGGCATCAAAGGACTATTCTCCCTGAGAGAAAATAGTAATGAGGTGAGTTGCAAAGAATACTTTATGTTTCTGTCTGAAGGCACTTTCTGAACCTTGGTCCCAGAAGGGCCCAGCCTTGCAGTAAGACTAAACTGATGTCAGAGAAAAGGCAGCACTAGTCTCTCTCTAGCAAAGTGAAAAACAAACAAAAGGATCAAGCTTAACTGACTGATAAAGTTTCACACTATTTAAAGGAAGACCAAAAAATCAAGAAACTAAAAAATACACTATTTAATTCAAAAATTACTATATATTCTGGATATTTTAAAAAGTGAAAATACTCTCATATTATTTTACAAATTCAGTATAACCTTGCCAGCAAAACCATATACAGAGAGCATGACATGTAAAAATTGTAGGCTAAAATTAATCATTACGGTAGGTCCAATTATCCAAAGGAAAATATAAACAAACCAGTAATAAGTGAAAAGGAAAACTCAACTGTACCAAGTTAAATTTACTTTAGGAATGGAAGAATGATTTAACATTATGAAAAACAACATATTATTGTAATTCCCCACATTAACAAATCAAAGAGAAAAGTATGGGAGGGAGGTGGAGCAAGATGGCTAAATAGAATTTTCAGCAATTGTCCCCCACCTGCCAGAGAAACACCAAATTAAACAACTATCCACACAAGAAAGCATCTGCATAAGAACCAAAAGTCAGGAGAGCAATCACATTACCTGATTTTCACATCATATTAAGGAAAGAGGCACCAAAGAGGGTAGGAAAGACAGTCTTGAATCACCTACACAAACCTTCCCTTAACCGCTGGCAGCAACTCTGCAGTGCAGAGAGAGAATCTATGTATTTACCGGAGAGAGAGCACAGTGATTGTGAGACTTTGCATTGGAACTCCATGCTGCCTTGTCACAGCAGAAAGCAATACAGGGCAGAATTTGGATGGCATCCACAGAAGGAGCATTTAGACCAGGTATAGCCAGAGGGAAATCTTCCATTCCAGCAGTCAGAACCTAAGTTTTGGCTAGCTCCACCACCACCGGCTAAAGTGCTCTGGGGTTCTAAATAAACTTGAAAGGCAGCCTAGGCCACAAGGATGGCAATTCCTGGGCAAGTCCTGGTACTGTTCTGGGCCTGAAAATAGTAGACTTGGCCTGCATATGACCCACTGAGGCACCAATTGTGATAGCCAAGGGAGTGCTTGTGTCACCCATCCCTCAACTTCAGGTAGCACAGCTTGCAGCTCCAGGAGGAGAGGGAAGCATAAAGAGGACTTTGTCTTGCAATTTGGATACCAGCTCAGCCACAATAAAATAAGGGACCAAGGAGAGTCCTGAGGCCCCTATTCCAGGCACAGCTCCTGGATGACCTTTCTAGGCCCACCTTGGGCCAGAATTCCCTGGCCCTGAGGGGAAGGATTCAGTCCTGGCAAAATTTACCACCCGCTGACTAGAGAACCCTTGATCCTGGAATAAATATCAGCAGTAGTCAGAAAGCGGTTGCCATGGATGTTGGACAAGATTCAGTATTGTGCTAGATTCAGATCTAATCCAGCACATTTTCAGCTCTGGTAGCCACAGGGACATACTCTTTCTTTTTGAGGAAAGGAGTGGGAAGGGTAAAAAAGACTTTGTCTTGCAACTTGGGTGCCAGCTCAGGACAGTACAATAAAGCACCAAGCAGACTCCTAAAGTCCCTGATGATATGCCATAGCTCCTGGAGGGGATTTCTAGATCTAACTTGGGTCAGAAGAGAACCAGCCCTAAAGGGAGAGACCCAGGCCTGGCAGGACTCATCACCTTCTGACTAAAGAGCATATGGGTCTTTAATAAACTTCAGTGGTAGCCATATTGTAGTTGTCACAGGCCTTGAGTGAGACCCAGTACTGTGCTGCCTTGAGGTGTGACCGAGTACAGTCTTAGTGGTGATGGCCATGGGAGTGCTTGTATTTTCCCTCCTCCAACTACAGGCAACTGAGCATGGAGAATGAGAGACACTATTTGTTTGAGGGGAAGTAAGGGAAGAGAAGAAGAGGCAATGCATGGGAATCCAGGAATTCTCCTAGCTCTTGCCTGAGACCACCAAAGTGGTACCTCTATGAGTCTACAAGAGTCACAGTATTACTGGGCTTGGGTTATGCCCTAATGCACATATGGCTGCAGTGACTAAAGACTTAGACCACAACAATCAATTCCCTTTGAACACTTGGAAAGCCTTCTCAAGAAGGACTGGTACAGACAAGTCAAGACTATGAAGATTAGAATAAATTTCTAACTCTTCAGTGCCCAGATATCAATAAACAATGATAATCACCAAGACTATCCAGGAAAACATGACCTTATCAAGTGAACTAAATAAGGCAACAATGACCAGTTTTGGAGTGACAGAGATATGTGACCTTTCAGACAGAGAATTCAAAATAGCTGTTTTGAAGAAGCTCAATAAAATCCAACACAGAGAAGGAATTCCGAATCTTATTAGATAAATTTAATAAGGCTATTGAGATGATTAAAAAGAATCAAGCAGAAATTCTTGAGGTGAAAAATTCAGTTAATAAACTGAGGAATGCATCAGAGTCTCAACAGCATAATTGATCGAGCAGAAGAAAGAATTAGTGAGCCTGAATACAGGTATTAAAAATAAGGTCACAGGAGACCAAAAAAAGAATAAAAAAAGAGTGAAGCACACTTACAAGATTAGAAAATAACCCCCAAAGGGCAAATCTAAGAGTTATTGGCCTTAAAGAGGAGGTAGAAAGGAGAGATTAGGGTTGAATGTTTATTCAAAGGCATAATAATGAGAACTTTCTAAACCTAGAGAAAGATGTCCATATTTAAGTACAAGAAGGTTATATTGTAACACCAAGCAGATATAACCCAAATAAGACTACCTCAAGACATTTAGTAATCAAACACCCAAAGGTCAAGGCTAAAGAAAGGATCCTAAAAACAGCAAGATAAAAGAAACAAATAACATATAATGGAGCTCCAATACATCTGGCAGCATATTTCTCAGTGGAAACCTTACAGGCCAGGAGAGAGTGGCATGACATATTTAAAGGGCTAAAGGAGAAACTTTTACCATGCAATATTATATCCAGTGAAAATATCCTTCAAACATGAAGGAGAAATAAAGACTTTCCCAGACAAACCAAAGTGAGAGATTTCATCAACACCAGACCTATCGTACAAGAAATGCTAAAGGTAGTTGTTCAATCTGAAAGAAAAAGACATTAGTGAGCAATAAGAAATCATCTGAAGGTGCAGAATTCACTGGTAATAGTAAATGCACAAACACAGAATTTTATAACAATGTAACTGTGGTGTATAAAATATTCAGATTTTTACTAGAAAGGCTAAAAAATGAAACTATTAAATATAGTAACTACTACAACTTTTTAAGACATAGATATTGTAATAAGATATAATTAGGAAGAACAAAAACTAAAAAAGGGGGGGATGAAATTAAAGTACCATGTATTTACTAATTTTCTCTTTGCTTATTTGTTAGTCTGTTTTCATAATCAAAGTTATCAGTTTATATAATGAGTTGTAATATGTTATTTGCAAGTCTCATGTAAATTCAAATCAAAAAACTCACAGCAGTTGCACAAAAATTATAAACCAGAAAATAAAACATAATGCCCATGAAAAATCACTTTCACAAAAAAGGAAGACAGGAAGCAAGGAAGGAACAAGCAAAACATGAAACAACGAGAAAACAAATAACAAAGTGGCATGAGTAAGTATTTACTTATCAATAATAACATTGACTGTAAATGGGCTAAGATCTTCAATGAAAAGGCATAGAATGGCTGAATGGATTTAAAAAAAAAATTAAGACCCAATGAACTGCTGCCTACAAGAAACACACTTCACCTATAAAACAAGCATAGACTAAACATAAAGTAATGGAAACAAATATCGCATGTAAGTAGAAACCAGAAAAAAGCAGGAGTAGCTATACTTACATTAGATAAAATAGATTTCAAAGAGAAGGAGGTGGCTGGCAAGATATGGCCAAATAGGAACAGCTCCGGTCTATAGCTCCCAGTGATATCAGTGCAGAAGGCGGATGATTTCTGCATTTCCATCTGAGGTACCTAGCTCATCTAATTGGGACTGGTTAGACAGTGGGTGCAGCCAACAGAGGGTGAGCTGAAGAAGGGTGGGGCAACACCTCACCTGGGAAGCACAAGGCATTGGGGAACTCCCTTCCCTAGCCAAGGGAAGCCATGGGGGACTGTGCCATGAGGAATGGTGCATTCTGGCCCAGATACTACGCATTTCCCATGGTATTCGCAACCTCGCAGACCAGGAGATTCCCTTGGATGCCTACACCAGCAGGGTCCTGGGTTTCAAGCACAAAACTTGTCAGCCATTTGGGCAGATGCTGAGCTAGCTGCAGGAGTTTTTTTTTCATACCCCAGTGGTGCCTGGAATGCCATTGAGACAGAACCATTCTCTTCCCTGGAAAGGGGACTGAAGCCAGGGAGCTGAGTGGGCTAACTCAGTGGAGCCCACCCCTATGGAGCCCAGCAAGGTAAGACCTACTGGCTTGAAATTCTTGCTGCCAGCACAACAGTCTGAAGTTGACCTGGGATGCTGGAGCTTTGTGGGGAGAGGGGTGTCGGCCATTACTGAGGCTTGAGTAGGCAGTTTTTCCCTCACAGTGTAAACAAAATTGTCAGGAAGTTTGAACTGGGTGGAGCCCACCACAGCTAGGCAAAGCTGCTGTAGCCAGACTGCCTCTGTAGATTCCTCCTCTCCGGGCAGGGCACCTCTGAAAGAAAGGCAGCAGCCCCAGTCAGGGGCTTAAAGTTAAAAATCCCATCTCCCTGGGACAGAGCAATTGGGGGAAGGGGCAGCTGTGGATGCAGCTTCAGCAGACATAAACATCCCTGCCTGTCAGCTTTAAAGAGAGGAGTGGATCACCCAGCACAGTGCTTGAGCTCTGCTAAGGGATAGACTGCCAACTGAAGTGGGTCCCTGACCCCCATGCCTCCTGATTGGGAGACAGTTCCCAGCAGGGGTCGACAGACACTTCATACAGGAGAGCTCCAGCTGGCATCTGCTGGGTACTCCTCTAGGATGAAGCTTTCAGAAGAAGGAACAGCCAGCAATCTTTGAAGTTCTGCAGCCTCCACTGGTGATATCCAGGCAAACAGGCTCTGGAGTGGACCTCCAGCAAACTCCAGCAGACCTGCAGCAGAGGGGCCTGACTGTTGGAAGGAAAACTAACAAATAGGAAGGAATAGCATCAACATCAACAAAAAGGTGGTCCACACAAAAACCCCATCTGAAAATCACCAACATCAAAGACCAAAACTAGATAAATCCATAAAGATGAGGAAAAACCAGCACAAAAAGGCTGAAAATGCCAAAAACCAGAACACCTCTTCTCCTCCAAAGGATCACAACTCCTCACCAGCAAGGAAACAAAACTAGACAGAGAATGAGTTTGATGAATCGACAGAAGTAGGCTTTAGAAGGTGGGTAATAATAAACTCCTCCAAGCTAAAGGAGCATGTTCTAGCCCAATGCAAAGAAGCTAAGAACCTTGAAAAAGTTGGAGGAATTGCTAACTAGAATAATCAGCTTAGAAAAGAACATAAATGACCTGATGGAGCTGAAAAACACAGCATGAGAACTTCATGAAGTGTGCACAGGTATCAACAGCCAAATCAATCAAGCGGAAGAAAGGATATCAGAGATTGAAGATCAACTTAATGAAATAAAGCAGGAAAACAATATTAGATAAAAAAGAATGAAAAGGAACAAACAAAGCCTCTAAGAAATATGGGACTATGTGAAAAGACAAAACCTACATTTGACTAGTGTACCTGGAAGTGATGAGGAAAATGGAACCAAATTGGAAAACACCCTTCAGGATATTATCCAGGAGAACTTCCCCAATCTAGCAAGACACACCAACATTCAAATTTAGGAAATACAGAGAATACCACAAAGATACTCGCTGAGAAGTGCAACCCCAAGACACATAATTGATAGGCTCATCAAGGTTAATATGAAGGAAAATATGTTAACGGAAGCCAGAAAGAAAGGTTGGGTTACTCACAAAGGAAAGCTCATCAGACTAACAGCAGATCTCTTGGCAGAAACCCTACAAGCCAGAAGAGAGTGGGGCCCAATATTCAACATTCTTAAAGAAAAGAATTTTCAACCCAGAATTTCATATCCAGCCAAACTAAGCTTCATAAGTAAAGGAGAAATAAAATCCTTTACAGACAAGCAAATGCTGAGAGATTTTGTCACCATCAGGCCTGGCTTACAAGAGTTCCTGAAGGAAGCACTAAACATGGAAAGGAACAACCAGTACTAGCCACTGCAAAAACATACCAAACTGTAAAGACTATCAACACTATGAAGAAACTGCATCAACTAACGGGCAAAATAACCAGTTAGCATCATAATGACAGGATCAAATTCACACATAACAATATTAACCTTAAATGAAAATGGGCTAAATGCCCCAATTAAAAGACACAGACTAGCTAATTGGTTAAAGAGTCAAACTCGTCATTGTGCTGTATTCAGGAGACCCATCTCACATGCAAAGACACACAAAGGTCAAAATAAAGGAATGGAGGAATATTTACCAAGCAAATGGAAAGCAAAAAAAAAAAAAAAAAAAGCAGGGGTTGCAATGCTAGTCTCTGCTAAAGCAGACTTTAAACCAACAAAGATCAAAACAAAGAAGGGCATTACTTAATGGTAAGTGGATTAATGCAACAAGAAGAGCTAACTGTCCTAAATATATATGCATCCAATACAGGAGCACCCAGATTCATAAAGCAAGTTCTTAGAGACCTACAAAGAGAATTAGACTCCTACACAATAATAGTGGGAGACTTTAACACCCCACTGTCAATATTAGACAGATCAGTGAGACAGAAAGTTAACAAGGATATTCAGGACTTGAATTCAGCTCTGGACCAAGTGGACCTAATAGATATCTACAGAACTCTCCACCCCAAATCAACAGAATATACATTCTTCTCAGCACCACATCACACTTATTCTAAAACTGACCACATAATTGGAAGTAAAACACTCCTCAGCAAATGCAAAAGAACGGAAATCATAGCAAATAGTCTCTCAGACCATGATGCAATCAAATTAGAATTCAGGATTAAGAAACTCACTCAAAACCACACAACTACATGGAAACTGAACACAGTGCCATCAAATTAGAACTCAGGATTAAGACACTCACTCAAAACTGCACAAGTACGTGGAAGCTGAATGACTACTGGGTAAATAATGAAATCAAGGCATAAATAAATAAGTTCTTTGAAACCAGTGAGAACAAAGACACAGCATACGGGAATCTCTGTGACACAGCTAAAGCAGAGTTTAGAAGGAAATTTATAGCACTAAATGCCCACATGAGAAAGCTCTGAAATTGACACCCTAACATCAAATTAAAAGAACCAAAGAAGCAAGAGCAAACAATTTCAAAAGCCTGCAGAAGACAAGAAATAACTAAGATCAGAGCAGAACTGAAGGAGATAGAGACACAAAAAAATTCTTCAAAAAAATGAATCCAGGAGCTGGTTTTTTTAAAAGATTAATAAAATAGACCACTAGCAAGACTAATGAAAAAAAAAGAGAGAAGAATCAAATAAGACACAATAAAAAATGATAAAGGGGATATCACCACTGATCCCACAGAAATACAAACTACCATCAGAGAATACTATAAACACCTTTACACAAATAAACTAAAACCTCTAGAAGAAATGGATAAATTCCTGGACACATACACCCTCCCAAGACTAAACCAGAAAGAAGTCTAATCCCTGAATAGACCAATAACAAGTTCTGAAATTGAGGCAGTAATTGGTAGCCTATGAACCAAAAAAAGCCAAGGACCAGACGGCTTCACAGCCGAATTCTACCAGAGGTACAAAGAGGAGCTGGTACCATTCCTTCTGAAACTATTCCACACAATAGAAAAAGAGGGACCCCTACCTAACTCATTTTATGAAGCCAGCATCATCCTGATACGAAAACCTGGAAGAAACACAACAAAAAAAAGAAAATTTAAGGCCAATATACCTGATGAACTTTGATGTGAATATCCTCAATAAAATACTGGCAAACCGAAAGCAGCAGTACATTATAAAGCTTATCCATGGCCAGGCGCAGTGGCTTTCGCCTGTAATCCCAGCACTTTGGGAGGCTGAGGATCACGAGGTCAGGAGTTCAAGATCAGCCTGGCCAAGATGGTGAAACCGTGTCTCTATTAAAACTACAAAAATGAGCTGGGCACAGAGGCAGGCACCTGTAATCCCAGCTAGTCAGGAGACTAAGGGAAGAGAATTTCTTGAACTTGGGTGGCAGAGGTTGCAGTGATCTGAGATTGCGCCACTGCACTTCAGTTTGGGCAACAGAGTCAGACTCCGTCTCAAAAAGAAAAAAAAAAGATTATCCACCACGATCAAGTTGGCTTCATCCCTGGGATGCAAGACTGATTCAACATATGCAAATCAATAAATGTAATCCATCACATAAACAGAACAAATGACAAAAACCACATTATCTTAGTAGATGCATTATCTTAATAGATTATCTTAACAGATGCAGAAAAGGCCTTTGATAAAAATTAACACCTCTTCATGCTAAAAACTCTTAGTAAACTAGGAATTGATGGAAGGTATCTCAAAATAATGAGCACTTTTGGCAAACCCACAGCCAATATCGTACTGAATGGGCAAAAGCTGGAAGCATTCCCTTTGAAAACTGGCACAACACAAGGATGCCCTCTTTCAACAATCCTATTTAACATAGTATTGGAAGTTGTGGCCAGGGCAATCAGGCAAGAGAAAGAAATAAAGGGTATTCAAATAGGAAGAGAGGAAGTCAAATTGTCTCTGTTTGCAGATGACATGATTGTATATTTTGAAAACCACACTGTCTCAGCCCCAAATCTCCTTAAGCTGATAAGCAACTTCAGCAAAGTCTCAGGATACCAAATCAATGTGCAAAAATCACAAGCATTCCTATACATCAATAATAGACAAACAGAGAGCCAAATCATGAGTGAACTCTCATTCACAATGGCTACAATGAGAATAAAATACCAGGAATACAACTTACAAGGGATGTGAAGGACCTCTTCAAGGAGAACTATAAACCACTGCTCAAGGAAATAAGAGAGGACCCAAACAAATGGAAAAACATTCCATTCTCATGGATTGGGAAGAATCAATATCATGAAAATGGCTATACTGCCCAAAGTGATTTATAGATTCCATGCTATCCACATCAAGCTACCATTGACTTTCTTCACAGAATTAGAAAAAACTACTTTAAATTTCATATGGAATCAAAAAAGAGCCTGTATAGCCAAGACAATCCTAAGCAAAAAGAACAAAGCTGGAGGCATCACGCTGCCTGACTTCAAACAATACTACAAGGCTACAGTAACCAAAATAGCATGGTACTGGTACCAAAACAGAGATATAGAGCAATGGGACAGAACAGAGGCCTCAGAAATAATGCCAAACATCTACAACCATCTGATCTTTGACAAACCTGACAAAAACAAGCAATGGGG